>NT_187383.1:1675402-1872759 GCF_000001405.40 Homo sapiens
GAATTCAAATGTGACTCTGAAAATTGTTAAGAGGAAAAAAAATTTCAAAAATGGCCCAAAATAGTTCTCCCCCAGGAAAGAATGCAGTGGTATAAATCCTTTTCCCCCAGCCTATTTTTATAAATAAAATGTTATAAACTTAAAATACAAAAAACCAAAAACATAGCAATATTTACAGGATGCAATTAAAGCAGAGTATAGAGGAAAATGTATAGCTTTAAAAACAGAAAGAAAAAATAATCTAAAATTGATAAGCAAAACTTCCATCTTAAGACTCTAGAAAAAGATGAGTAAACCAAGCCGAAAGTAAGTAGGATGTATGAAATAAAAATGTCACAGTGGAAAACGAGAAATACAGAACAGGATAACGTTAAAAACAACCAAAGAAACCCAAAATTGCTTATTTCAGAAAGTCAAGAAGATAAATAATATTTAGTTAAATTGACCAAGAAAAAAGAAAGAAGACACTAATCCCAAAATCAAGAATCAAAGAGAAATATCACCACAGACCCTACCCTTAAAAGGATGTTAAGAAAATAGCATAATAACTTTAAGGCAAAAAATTTGACAACTTAGATAAAATAGAACAATTCCTTGAAAGACACAAATTACCAAAACTGACTCAAGGAAAAAGAAAAAAAAACAAATACCAATATCAAGTAAAGAAATTGCATCAGTAATTTCAAATCTTCCTATAGAGAAAAAATATACTTCACTGGTGAATTCTATCAAACTACTAAGGGAGGAAATAATACCAATGTTACAAAAACTTTATTCAGCAAATAGAGGATGAAGGAAACTTCCCAACTAACCTTATTTCATTTGATATCAATATTACCCTGATATCAAAACAAGACAAAGACATTACAAGCAAACACAGCTATATACCAATATCCCTTGTGAACCTAGACATAAAAATTCTTAACCAAATATTAGCAAATGTAATTGAGCAACATATGAAAAGGATTTTATACCATAATCAAATGAAGTTTATCTCAGGAATGTGAGGTTGACTTAACATCCGAAAATCAATGTAATAAACTATATTAACAGAATAAAGGACAAAACCATATGATCACCTCAATAGATGCAGAAAAGCATTTGACAGAATTCAACAATCATACATTAAAAAAAATCTCATCAACTTATGAATAGAAGGGAACTTCTTCAAATGATCAAGGCATCTACCAGAAGCCTATAGCCAACATATTTAATGGTAAGAATGTGCTTCCCTCTAGATTAGGAAACATGCAAAGATATCTGTGTTTACCACTTCTATTTAACAATGCACCACAGGTCTTAGTTTGTGCAATAGTCAAGGAAAAAAGGTATGGAAAAAAGACAACTCTTTTTATTGTTAGCCTTGTATGCAGAAAATCCTAAGGAACACACCCACACACACACCCACATACCACACCCCCTCCCAGACTTACTAGAACTAAGAGGGGGGCTTAGTAAGTTTGTAGAGTATATGATCAATATACAAAAATTGGTTATATATATAGTAGCAACAAACAATACAAAGATGAAATAAAGAAAACAATTCCAATCACAATAGCATCAAAAATAAATGTCTTAGTTTGTTTTATGTTGTTATAATAGAATACCTGAGACTGTACGAAGAGGTTTATTTAGCTCATGTTTCTCCAGACTGGGAAGTTCAAGAAGCATGGCACCAGTATCTGCTTAGCTTCTGGTGAGGGCTTTAGCAGTGCATCACAACATGGCAGAAGACCAAAGAGGAAGTGGGAAAGTGCCAAGAGGCCAAACACAAGGTACAACCTTGTACAATGGGTTGCTTTATAACAATCCATTCTCAGGGCAACTAATCTATTTCCACAGGAACCAATCCAGTTTCATGAGAGCAAGAACTCACTCACTATATGAGGACTGCACGAAGCTGCTTAAAATGGCAGAGCCCGCATGACCCAAGCATCTCCCATTAGGCCCTACCTCTTAAAGGTTCCAACATGATTTTTGACAGAAACACGGAAACCATGGCATTTCACCCTTGGAACCCCAAACTCATGTCCCTCTTACACTACAAAATGTAATTATTCAATCTCAATGGTCCCCAAAGTGTTAATTTATTCCAGTAACAATTTAAAGGTCAAAGCCCAAAGTCTCATATAAGACTCAAAGCAAATTCCTTCTAGCTATGAGCCTGTAAAATAAAAATAAAAATAAAAAAACACAAGTTATTTACTTCCAAGATACAATGGTGGAATAGTCATATGGCAGACAGTCCCATTCCAAAAGGGAGAAATAAGCCAAAAGAAGAAAGAGGTGACAGACCTCGAGCAAGTGCAAAACTCAGCAGGGCATACACTAAATCTTAAAGCTCCAGAATAATTCTCCACTCTATGTGCTACCTCCTGGGCACAGTGGGGAGTTTTTATCCCTAAAGCCTTGGGCAGCCCCACCTCCATTGCTTTGTTGGGCATAGCCACATGGCTACTCTCACTGGTTGGAGTTGGATACCTGTGGCCTTTCCAGGCTGAGGTTGCATGGTGGCAATGGCTCTATAGTTCTGGAGTCCCAGTGGTGGTCCACTTCGTGGATTCACTGGGCATTGCCCTGGTACAGACTCTTTGTGGCAGCTCCAACCCTACATTTCTCCTCAGCTTTGCCCTAGGGGAGGTACACTGCAGTGGCTCTGGCCCTGCAACAAGTCTCCACCTGAGCTCCCAGTCTTTTCAGTACATTCCTTAAAATCTAGGTGGCAGCCACCATGCCTCCACTTCTCTTGTATTCTGCACATCTGCAAAAATAGTACCACAAGGTTGTAAAAGCCATCAAGGCTTACCGCTTGCACCCTCCAGAGTGCTGTCATGAGCTGTATCTGAGGCTGCTTGATCCATGACTGTGTGTCACCAAGGTTTATGGTTTGTATCTTGTGGAATGGCAGCCTGAGCCACACCTGAGTATGATTGTGCCATGGGTTGGGTGGCTGCTGAGGGCTGTGCCAGAATTTGGGGAGCAGGATCTCAAAACAGCACAGGGCAGTGATGCATGGGTTCTGTCTCTTAAAACCATTCTGTCCTCCTAGACCTCTGGAGAGGCAACCTCAAAAATTTCTGAAATGTCTTCAGGGCCTTTAAAAAAATTGTCTCAATAATTGTCAACTGGTTTTCTTCTCTCAGTGCTAATCTCTTTAGTATTGGTTGTTCTGCTGCACCCTTGGATTCTTCACCTGAAAATGCTCTTTCATTCTCTTCCACATGGCCAGGCTATTAATTTTCAAATTTTTGTGTTTGCTTCCATTGTCATTTTGCATTTCACTGAATGTAGTAAGGAGTAACTACATAGCTGCTCTATATTTTGCTTAGAAATTTCTTCTGCCAGGTACCCTAGTTCATCACTCTTAAGTTTGGCCTTCCACAAAACCTTAGGGCACAAAGCCTTAGAAACAACACAGCCAAATTTTTGCTATGGTCTAACAAGGATGACTTGGTCTCCAGTTCCTAATACCTTGTTCCTCATTTCTATCTGAGATCTCATTAGAATGGCCTTTGCTGTCCATATTTTTATCAGCATTGTGGTAATGACTACTTAACCAATCTCTGAGAAATTCTAAACTTTCTCTCATCTTTTTGTTGTCTTTTGAGCCCTCACTGAAATTATCCTTAATGCTCTGTTTATGGCAATACAGTCTTCTTCTAGTCTGCTCCTTCAAACTTTTCCAACTTCTGCGCATTACCCAGTTCCAATGATGCTTCTGCATTTTTGAAAATCTAAATAGCAACATCCCACTTTCAGTACCAATTTTCTGTCTTAGTCCGTTTTGTGTTGCTGTAACAGAATACCGGAGACTGAGTAATTTATAAAGAGGTATATTTGGCTTGCAGTTCTGCAGGCTGGAAAGAATGACACTGGCATCTGCTTGGGTTCTGGTGAAAGCTTTAGTGTTGTGTCACAACATGTTAGAATAAGGTCAAAGGGGAGTAGGCAAGTACCAGGAGGCCAAGCATGAAGCCTGACCTCACCGTATAGCAATTCATTCTCATGGTAACTAATCCATTCCTGAGAGAACTAATCTCACAAGAGTGAGAACTCACTCACCAGTGTAAGAATAGTACCAAGCTTCCCACAAAGGAAGAGCTCCCAAGACCCAAACACTTCCCAATAGGCCCTACCTCTTAAGCGTTCCAACATGCGTTTTGGTAGAGACACTCAAACTATAGCAATAATAATTAGGAATAAATTTAACAAAATAAGTGTGAAACCTTTGCACTGAAAACTAAAAAACATCACTCAGATAAATGCCTAAATAAATGGAGAGATATATCATGTTAATGGATTAGATGACTCAATATTGTTAGATGTCAATTGATCTACAAATTAACTGAAATTCCTGCCAAAAGTCTAGAAAGATTGGAAAAATTGACACGCTGATTTTAAAATTATATAGAAATACAAAAATACCTAGAATAGCCAAAACAATCTTGCTAAGTAAGAATGAAGTTAGAGTACTTAATACTGCCTTATTTTAAAATTCAGTGTAAAGCAACAGTAGTTAAGACAGTGTAGAATCCACATTAAGAGAGATAGATAGATCAATGGAACTAAGTGGAGTTCAGAATCCAACCCACATAAATAGTCAATTAATTTTCATCAAAGATGCTAAGACAATTCAATAGGAGAAAGATGTTCTTTCAACAAATGATTCTATAAGAACTGGTTATTCATTTACAAAAACTAAACCTAGATCCTTAGGTCATATACGAAAATTAACTAAAATGGATCATAGACCTAATTGTATGAGCTAAAACTGTAAAACTTCTAGGAAAAAAAAATAGGAGAAAATATTTATGACCTCAGACTAAGAAAAGGTTTCTTAGATATAATATCAAAAACATGTTCCATAAAAGAAAAACAGATAAATTGGACTTCACCAAAATGATGAAATCTTTGCTTTTCAAATATTTCTTAAATAAATGAAAAGAGAGGATCGTTCCAAGATGGCCGAATAGGAACAGCTCCTGTCTGCAGCTCTCAGGATAATTGACATAGAAGACAGGTGATTTCTGTATTTCCAACTGAGGTACCTGGTTCATCTCACTGAGACGGGTCGGACAGTGGGTGCAGCCCACAGAGGGTGAGCCAAAGCAGGGCAGGGCGTTGCCTCATCTGGGAAGCAGCACAAGTGGTCGGGGATTTCCCTTCCTAGCCAAGGGAAGCCGTGACAGACGGTACCTGGAAAATCTGGACACTCCCACCCTAATACTGTGCTTTTCCAGTGGTCTTAGCAAACGGCACACAGGAGATTATATCCCATGTATGGCTTGGTAGGTCCCATGCCCACACAGCCTTGCTTACTGCTAGTGCAGCAGTCCGAGATCGAACTGCAAGGTGGCAGCCTGGGCTGGGGGAGGGACGTCCACCATTGCTGAGGCTTGAGTAGGTAAACAAAGCAGCTGGGAAGCCTGAACTAGGTGGAGCTCACTGCAGCTCAATGAGGCCTGGCAGCCTCTGTAGACTCCACCTCTCGGGGCAGGGTATAGCTGAGTAAAAGGCAGCAGAAACTTCTGCAGACTTAAACATCCCTGTCTGACAGCTCTGAAGAGAACAGTGGTTCTCCAGCATGGAGTTTGAACTCTGAGAATGGACAGAGCTGCCAGTAGGGACTTACTGACACCTCATACAGCCAGGTGTCCCTCTGAGATGAAGCTTCCAGAAGAAGGATCAGGCAGCAATATTTGCTGTTCTGCAGCCTCCACTGGTGACACTCAGGAAAACAGGGTCTGGAGTGGACCTCCAGCAAACTCCAACAGACCTGCAGCTGAGGGTCCTTATTGTTAGAAGGAAAACTAGCAAACAGAAAGGAACAACATCAACAAAAAGGACATCCACACCAAAACCACATCTGTAGGTCACCATCATTAAAGACCAAAGGTAGATCTAACCACAAAGATGGGGGGAAACCAGAGCAGACGAGCTGAAAATTCAAAAAAACAGAGCGCCGCTTCTCCTCCAAAGGATTGCAGCTCCTTGCCAGCAATGGAACAAAGCTGGATGGAGAATGACTTTGATGAGTTGACAGAAGTATGCTTTAGAAGGTCAGTAATAACAAACTTCTCTGAGCTAAAGGAGGATGTTCGAACCCATTGCAAGGAAGCTAAAAACCTTGAACAAAGATTAGATGAATGGCTAACTAGAATAAACAGCATAGAGAAGACCTTAAATGACCTGATGGAGCTGAAAACCATGGCACAAGAACTAAATGATGCATGCAAAAGCTTCTGTAGCTGATTCAATCAAGTGGAAGAAAGGGTATCAGTGATGGAAGATCAAATAAATGAAATGAAGTGAGAAGCGAAGTTTAGAGAAAAAGAGTAAAAAGAAATGAACAAAGCCTCCAAGAAATATGGGACTATGTGAAAAGACCAAATCTAAGTTTGATTGGTGTACTTGAAAGTGATGGGGAGAATGTTTTAGACATGAAATCCTTGCCCATGACTATAACCTGAATGGTATTGCCTAGGTTTTCTTCTAGGGTTTTTATGGTTTTAGGTCTAACATGTAAGTCTTTAATCCATCTTGAATTAATTTTTGTATAAGGTGTAAGGAAGGGATCCAGATTCAGCTTTCTACATATGGCTAGCCAGTTTTCCCAGCACCATTTATTAAATAGGGAATCATTTCCCCATTGCTTGTTTTTGTCAGGTTTGTCAAAGATCAGATAGTTGTAAATATGCGGCATTATTTCTGAGGGCTCTGTTCTGTTCCATTGATCTATATCTCTGTTTTGGTACCAGTACCATGCTGTTTTGGTTACTGTAGCCTTGTAGTATACTTTGAAGTCAGGTAGTGTGATGCCTCCAGCTTTGTTCTTTTGGCTTAGGATTGACTTGGCGATGTGGGCTCTTTTTTGGTTCCATATGAACTTTAAAGTAGTTTTTTTCCAATATTGATTCTTCCAACCCATGAGCATGGAATGTTCTTCCATTTGTTTGTATCTTCTTTTATTTCATTGAGCAGTGGTTTGTAGTTCTCCTTGAAGAGGTCCTTCATGTCCCTTGTAAGTTGGATTCCTAGGTATTGTATTCTCTTTGAAGCAATTGTGAATGGGGGTTCACCCATGATTTGCCTCTCTGTTGGTCTGTTATTGGTGTACAAGAATGCTTGTGATTTTTGTACATTGATTTTGTATCCTGAGACTTTGCTGAAGTTGCTTATCAGTTTAAGAAGATTTTGGGCTGAGACACTGGGGTTTTCTAGATATACAATCATGTCATCTGCAAACAGGGACAATTTGACTTCCTCTTTTCCTAATCGAATACCCTTTATTTCCTTCTCCTGCCTAATTGCCCTGGCCAGAACTTTCAACACTATGTTGAATAGGAATGGTGAGAGAGGGCATCCTTGTCTTGTGCCAGTTTTCAAAGGGAATGCTTCCAGTTTTTGCCCATTCAGTATGATATTGGCTGTGGGTTTGTAATAGATAGCTCTTATTATTTTGAGATATGTCCCATCAATACCTAATTTATTGAGAGTTTTTAGCATGAAGTGTTGCTGAATTTTGTCAAAGGCCTTTTCTGCATCTATTGAGATAGTTATGTGGTTTTTGTCTTTGGTTCTGTTTATATGCTGGATTACATTTATTGATTTGCATATGTTGAACAAGGCTTACATCCTAGGAATGAAGCCTACTTGATCATGGTGGATAAGCTTTTTGCTATGCTGCTGGATTCTGTTTGCCAGTATTTTATTGAGGATTTTTGCATCAATGTTCATCAAGGATATTGGTCTAAAATTCTCTTTTTTGGTTGTGTCTCTACCAGGCTTTGGTATCAGGATGATGCTGGCCTCATAAGATGAGTTAGGGAGGATTCCCTCTTTTTCTATTCATTGGAATAGTTTCAGAAGGAATGGTACCAGTTCCTCCTTGTACCTCTGGTAGAATTCGGCTGTGAATCCATCTGGTCCTGGACTGTTTTTGGTTGATAAGCTATTGATTATTGCCACAATTTCAGAGCCTGATATTGGTCTATTCAGAGATTCAACTTCTTCCTGGTTTAGTCTTGGGAGGGTGTACGTGTCGAGGAATTTATCCATTTCTTCTAGATTTTCTAGTTTATTTGTGTACAGGTGTTTGTAGTATTCTCTGATGGTAGATTGTATTTCTGTGGCATCAGTGGTGATATACCCTTTATCATTTTTTATTGTGTCTATTTGATTCTTCTCTCTTTTCTTCTTTATTAGTCTTGCCAGCAGTTTATCAATTTTGTTGATCTTTTCAAAAAACCAGCTCCTGGATTCATTAATTTTTTGAAGGGTTTTTTGTGTCTCTATTTCCTTCAGTTCTGCTCTGATCTTAGTTATTTCTTGCCTTCTGCTAGCTTTTGAATGTGTTTGCTATTGGTTTTCTAGTTCTTTTAATTGTGATGTTAGGGTCAGAAAACACCACAAAGATACTCCTCAAGAAGAGCAACACCAAGACACATAATTGTCAGACTCACCAAGGTTGAAATGAAAGGAAAAACGTTAAGAGCAACCAGAGAGAAAGGTCGGGTTAGCCACAAAGGGAAGCACATCAGACTAACAGCAGGTCTCTTGGCAGAAACCCTACAAACCAGAAGAGAGTGGGGGCCAATATTCAACATTCTTAAAGAAAAGAATTTTCAACTCAGAATTTCATATCCAGCCAAACTAAGCTTCATAAGCGAAGGAGAAATAAACTCCTTTATAGACAAGCAAATGATGAGAGATTTTGTCACCACCAGGCCTGCCTTACAAGAGCTCCTGAAGGAAGCACTAAACATGGAAAGGAATAACCAGTACCAGCCACACAAAAACATGCCAAATTGTAAAGACCATCAATCCTAGGAAGAAACTGCATCAACTAATGAGCAAAATAACCAGCTAACATCATAATGACAGGATCAAATTCACACATAACAATATTAACCTTAAATGTAAATGGGCTAAATGCCCCAATTAAAAGACAAAGACTGGTAAACTGGATAAAGAGTCAAGACACATCAGTGTGCTGTATTCAGGAGACCCATCTAACGTGCAGAGACACACATAGGCTCAAAATAAAGGGATGGAAGAAGATCTACGAAGCAAATGGAAAGAAAAAAATAGCAGGGATTGCAATCCTAGTCTCTGATAAAACAGGCTTTAAACCAACAAAGATTAAAGAGACAAAGAAAGCCTTTATATAATGGTAAAGGGATCAATGCAACAAGAAGATCTAACTATCCTAACTATACATGCACCCAATACAGGAGCACCCATATTCTTAAAGCAAGTCCTTAGAGACCTACAAAGAGACTTAGACATCCACACAGTAATAATGAGAGACTTTAACACCCCAATGTCAATATTAGACAGATCAATGAGACAGAATGTTAACAAGGATTTCCAGGACTTGAACTCAGCTCTGCAACAAGCAGACCTAATAGACATCTACAGAACCCTCCACCCCAAATCAACAGAATGTACATTCTTCTCAGCATCACATCTCACTTATTCCAAAATTGACCACATAGTTAGAAGTAAAACACTGCTCAGCAAATGTAAAAGAACAGAAATCACAACAAACTGTCTCCCAGACCACAGTGCCATCAAATTAGAACTCAGGATTAAGAAACTCACTCAAAACCACACAAATACATGGAAACTGAACAACCTGCTCCTGAATGACTATTGGGTAAATAACGAAATGAAGGCAGAAATAAAGATGTTCTTTGAAACCAACGAGAACAAAGACCCAACATATCAGAATCTCTGGGACACATTTAAAGCAGTGTGTAGATGGAAATTTGTAGCACTAAATAACCACAAGAGAAAACAAGAAAGATCTAAAATTGACACCCTAACATCACAATTAAAAGAACTAGAGAAGCAAGAGCACACAAATTCGAAATCTAGCAGAAGGCAAGAAATAACTAAGATCAGAGCAGAACTGAAGGAGATAGAGACACAAAAAACCCTTCAAAAAATCAATGAACCCAGGAGCTGGTTTTTTGAAGAGATCAACAAAATTGATAGACCACTAGCAAGACTAATAAAGAAGAAAAGAGAGAAAAATCAAATGGATGCAATAAAAAATGATAAAGGGGATTTCACCACTGATCACATGGAAATACAAACTACCATCAGAGAATACTACAAACCCCTCTACACAAATAAACTAGAAAATCTAGAAGAAATGGATAAATTCCTGGACAAATACACCATCCCAAGACTAAACCAGGAAGAAGTCGAATCCCTGAATAGAACAATAACAGGCTCTGAAATTGAGGCAATAATTAATTAGCCTCCCAACCAAAAAAAGTCCAGGACTAGATGGATTCACAGCCGAATTCTACCAGAGATACAAAGAGGAGCTGGTACCATTCCTTCTGAAACTATTCCAATGAATAGAAAAAGAGGGAATCCTCCCTAACACATTTTATGAGGCCAGCATCATCCTGATACCAAAGCCTGGCAGAGACACAACAAAAAAAAGAGAATTTTAGACCAATATCCCTGATGACCAATATCAATATCAATGCAAAAATCCTCAATAAAATACTGGCAAACCGAATCCAGCAGCACATCAAAAAGCTTATCCACCACTATCAAGTCAGCTTCATCCCTGGGATGCAAGCCTGGTTCAATATACGCAAATCAATTAACGTAATCCATCACACTTCAGCCTTCGAGTAGCTATCAGGTGCGCCACCATGCCCAGCTAATTTTTGTGTTTTTAGTAGAGATGGGGTTTCACCATGTTGCCTAGGTTAGTCTTGAACTCCTGGGCTCAGGTGATCTGCTCGCCTTGGCCTCCCAAAATGCTAGGATTACAGGCATGAGCCACTGTGCCCAGCCAATCTATGTAACTTTTCATGGAAGGCAAATCTATAAAGAAAGCAGATCATTTGTTACTTGGGACTTGGGTAGGTGGGAGTGAGGATTTAATGCAAATAAGCAGAGGAAACTTTTTGAGATTATGTAAGTATTCAAAAACTGAATTTTTGTAATTGTTGTACAACTCTATAAATTTGCCAAAACTCATCGAAATGTGCATTTAGAATAAATAAATTTTGTGCGCTGTGTATTATACCTCAAAAAAGCTGATAAAATATAAATTGGAACAAAAGTACTGGAAAACAGTAAGTTGGGGATGAATGAGGGTGATCAAAATTAATGCATCCTTCAAGATGAAACTAGTGATTTTAATTTTACAATTAGTTTTTTAAATTACTTGTTAATTCAAGTACACATATTACATTTCAAGGGTAATTGTGAATAGAATAGAACTAGAACATACAACTTTTAAACAAATAAAGGGGAAAAACCTTGATCAATCTAATAGAATGCATTGGGGAAAAGAATTGGAGAAATAATATGGTTAACAGAAAGCACAATATATGATGACAGAAGTAAATATAAATTTATCCATAACCACAATAAACTTAAATCATCTAAATTAGTTAAAGACAGACACTTGAAGACTGGATAAAAATGTGAAAATCCAGGTATAACCCGTAATAGTTAAAAACATGAAGACACAAAATTCTGAAGGTATGAGATGAGTAAATGATAAATAAAACAAATATTAACCAATATATGGCTGATATAGCTATTTTCATATCAAAAACTATAATTTAAGACAAAAAAACATTCTGAGGAATAAAAGTCATTATGTAAAGACATGTATGCATGTAACAATTCAACCGTAAAATATATGAAGCACAAATTGGCAGAATTACAAAGAAAAATGGCTAAATCCTCAACTTTGAAGAAACTTAAACCTCTGAGTCAATGATAATCAAAATGTAGTAAGATTATCTCAGATTTTTACCACTGTATTTAAAAAGCTTAATGTAAAGGAAATATATAGACTGCTGTATGCTCAAATTAGAGAATATATATATACTTTGAAGCCTGATAAAGTCTTAGGAGAACTGAACCTATGCTAGCCTATGAATCAAATCACAACAAATAAACAAACATTATAACATGTGGCCTATACTCTGTAACCAAAATGCAATTTATTAGAGAAAAAAATGTAAATTTCTTTCATCTTCAAACTAAAGGCATACCTTAAATAATTTTTCAGTCAAAGAAGACATGAAAATGAAAATCAGAAGATATTTGGATGTGAAATACTACATAACAAAACTTCTGAGATAGAGCTGAGGCAGTACTGAAAGGGTAATTTATATGTTTACATGTTTATATTGAAAAATAGGCTGAAAATTAGTTAAGTGTCCACCTTAGGAAGTTTAGAAAGAGAAAAAGAGATTGGGCATGGTGGCTCAGGCCTGTAATCCCAGCACTTTGGGAGGTCAAGGAGGGCGGATTACCTGAGGTCGGGAGTTCAAGACCAGCTTGGCCAACATGGTGAAACCCCTGTCTCTACTGAAAATACAAAAATTAGCTGGGTGTGGTGGTGGGTGCCTATAATCCCAGCTACTCGGGAGGCTGAGGCAGAAGAATTGCTTGAGCCAGGGAGGCAGAGGTTGCAGTGAGCCGAGATTGGGCCACTGCATTGCAGCCTGGGCAACAGAGCAAGACTCTGTCTAAAAAAAAAAAAAAAAAAAAATTGGAGTAAACCTAAATAAAATAAATTAAAGGAAATAAGGCTAAAAGTAGAAATAGACATTAATAAACTATAAAACAAAGAAACAATAGGCAAGATTCACAAAACCAAATGCTGATTCTTTGAAAAGAATAATAAAATAGGCACTCTTCTGGTAACATTGATTAATTAAAAAGAGAAGGTGTAAATAAGCAATATTAGGAATAAAAAATGAAGTGTAAGATAAAATATGAGTGAAAAAATAATAAAGTGAATACTATAAATGACTATATGACAACAGTCTAAAAACATAAGTGAAATGAACAACTTCGTTGGCTACTATAACTTATAAACACTTAGTCAAGAAGAAATGGGACACATGAATATTCATGTATCTATTTTTAAAAATTCAATCAGTAAATACTTTCTCATAGAAAACACCCACTAGTATGAGATACTTTAATATGAAAGTTCTACCAAACATTCAAAGAACATATAAATAAGCACTATCATATCAAAATAATTTCAGAGTATGGAAAAAGAGGGAACACCTTCAATTCATTTTGTGAGGCTAACATAAATGCAATATAAATATTTAAGATCATTATAATCCAAGAAAATTGGAGGCCAAACTAAGCTTAGATACAAACATCTAAAATAAAATAATAGTAAATCTAGTAATGTATTCTAAAATAATTCTGGACCAGTTGGGTATCTCAGGAATAGAAGCAAACGTTTAACAGTTTGCCCAAGCAGCTTTTATTTTATTTTATTATTTTTAAGGAGACAAGGTCTTGCCCTGTTGCCTGGGTTGGAATAGTGGCACGATCATATATCTCACAGCATCCTTGACCTCCTGGGTTCTAGGGAACCTCTGCCTTAGCCTCCTGAGTAGCTGGGACTACAGGCACACACCACAATGCCTAGCTAATTTTAAAATGTTTTTATTTTGTAGAGATGAAATCTCACTATGTTGCCCAAGCTAGCCTCACACTCTTGGCTTCAAATGATTCTTCCACCTTGGTGCCCCGAAGTGTTGGGATTACAGGCATCAGTCATGGCACCTGGCCTGAGCAGGTTTTAATAAGTCACCCCATGTTTGGAGAATTTCTAACATTATTAATACTACTTTCCCAATGCAGAAGCCAGGAACACAAGTTTTTAAACTTCCTTTGTCATGAAGGCATAGACACATGATGAACACACTGCTACTGACATTAATTTCTGCTTTTATCTGCATAGCTGGTACCTCCAGGAAAAGGAGAGGAATGAGGTTGGAAAATAGTACATAGGAAGCTTCAACTATATCTATAATGATTTTATATATATATATATATTTATATTTTGAGGCTGGAGTGCAGTGGCACAATCTTGGCTCACTGCGACCTCTGCCTCCTGGGTTCAAGCGATTCTCCTGCCTAAGCCTCTTGAGTAGCTGGGACTACAGGTGCATGTCATGATGTCTGGTTAATTTTGTATTTTTTAGTAGAGATGGGGTTTCACCATGTTGGCCAGGCTGGTTTAAACACCCAACCTCAGGTGATCTGCCCGCCTCAGCCCCCAAAGTGCTGGGATTACAGGCGTGAACTACTGTGCCTGGCCAGATAATGTTTGAATTAGAATGTTGCATGCATAAATATGATATCTTGGATATTGAAGAGACCACATAGACAAACTATATAAAAGGAAAAGAGGAAAAGGCTCAGGTCTAAGTCCTGAGTGATATTTCATATTTAGAAGTTAGGAAAAGAAGAATGGAATATGGAAGACAAGAAAGGAAGAAGCAGTGAGGGAAGAAGAAAACCAGTAAGTAGTGCCTCAGAATTAGAAAAAAAAAAGACAAGTGTTTCAATAAGAGAGTGATCATTGGCGTCAAAAGCTGCAAAGATCTTGAATACGATGCAGACAGAAACGTTCACTGGATTTGGTTAATACACTTAGTCAGATAACAAAAAACCAGCAATTTCACCAGTTACGCTCCTTTTCATACTCCAGAGATGAAGGATAATATTCACTAGCCTATATAATATTCTAGGTCTTGAATGTTAAATAACATAACATAGGTGATTGTGTTAAATGTCAGAATATTTAAGGAATAATTATGTTGTAATTTACAGGCCAGCGTGCATTTGTTGCTTGCTGGAGTAGTCAAGTTTTATTTCTGACAAGTCTGCAGTTCCAGGGAGCCTCTCCCTGGCTGAGTAACTCTCACCCATCCATCTGTCAGGGAGAGTTTGCTGTGCATCCCAAGTATCTTAGAATTGGGTAGAAGTTTAGCTTTAATTAGTTTGACCTTGAGTCTAGCAACAGGAGAGGGAACAGGCGGTGAAGAGGTCGTGAATGATGTCCCAGCAGCAGGAGACAGGGAGTGTCATTATCATTCCTGGCCTTCTCACAGTACTCTGAATACAGAGAATGAGGAAGATTAGGGGGCCCTGTCTGCTGACTCCCTGATGATCTCAGACCCTCTCTGCTCTTTCTGGATGGTGACCTGTTAATTCTGGCATACTATTACTGATAATATATTTATACTTTTCACTGTGATTTGCCCAATTGTTGCTTTAGCTCTGGACCTTGTCAAGAAGTTGTTGGTAGTGGATCCAAAGGCACGTTTTATGACAGAAGAAGCCTTAAGACACCGTGGCTTCAGGAGGGTGTGGGACAGTGCCTGCTAGCATAAAATACATGGGAAGCCCTGCTGCCTGAGAGACATGAGACAGAGGACAGAAACATGTTTAGTCTGTTTAATCTAATTGTTTTAGATGTATGGGGGGTATCTTGGAGGATGGGTTACAACCTGTCTTTTTTTTTTCTTTTTTCAGACAGGTTCTCATTCTGTCACCCTGGCTGGAGTGCAGTGGCATGATCTCAGCTCACTGCAACCTCTGCCCCCTGGGTTCAAGTGATTCTCCTGCCTCAGCCTCCCAAGCAGCTGGGATTAAAGGTGCATGCTACCAAGCCCAACTACTTTTTGTATTTTTTGTAGAGATGGGGTTTCGCCGTGTTGGCTAGGCTACAACCTTTTCGATGTTACTCATGGCTGTTGGATGTACAAGCTCACTTTATGTCCTGTTCTGGTTCCACTTGGCTGTCCCAAGTCTCCAGTATGGCCTGTGTTCTTTTGAGGGCTTGTTCTGGCTCTAACCCCAGCCATGTCCACTGGTCTTCATAGGTGCGGTGCATTCCAACCATCTTCAACCTTAAATCGGGGAAGTGGGGGAGGGGGAGGAGGGCAGCCTCCATGGGGAGAATCCAGCTATTTCTTGAGCCCAAGTGACTGGGTATAAAGGGTCCCACTGCTTGTTCATTCAGGTGAGTAAATGTGTCCTTAGTGAAGGCCGTCACCTGCACTTTTCATCTGTGTTACTGCTCTGCTCCTGCTAGGGGTTGGGGCTGCCATTATTAAATGCTGACCTCATTTGGAACTGCCAAGAGTTGGAAGTACGTTTTGGCTTTGCTGGATTAATCTTTAGTTTTGGAATTAGCTACGGCATTGGGCAGGTGTTCTGATAGATGTCTGGTCTTCTGTAATGAGCAGTTCCATTCAACACAGCCATGCCCCTTTCTATTAATTTTCTTTTGGTCTGTGTATTAGTCTGTTCTCACACTGCTATAAAGAACTGCCCAAGACTGGGTAATTTATAAAGAAAGGAGGTTTAATTGACTCACAGCTCCACATGGCTGGGGAGGCCTCAGGAAACTTACAATCATGGTGGAAGGGGAAGAAGGCGTGTCTTAATGGCAGCAGGTGAGAGAGCTTGTGAAGGAAGTGAAGGGCGAAGAGCCTTTTATGAAACTGTCAGATCTCATGAGAACTCACTATCATGAGAATAGCCTGGGGGGAACTGCCCCCATGAGACAATCACCTCTCAACAGTTCCCTTTCTCACCACCAGGATAATACAATTTGAGATGAGATTTGGGTAGGGACATAAAGCCAAACTGTATCAATCCGTTTTCTGTGGAGATGGGGGACAGAACTCGTAGCTTGAGCTAAAGGCTGTTACTTGAGCTAAATGCTGTTTCTCTGGGGATTACTGGTCCAGGAACTCCTTGGGCAATCCAGCCTCAGCCCCGTACTTCTGGGACTCTGGGAAGACTGTCCCCATTCTCTGTTCTAATACTCTACACCTAACAGTTTTGCTCAGGCCAGCTCAGGTTGAGAACAAGAAAAACTTAAAAAAAAAAAAAAAGACAGATATATGTGTTTTGGATGTTGCGCTGGAAACTATAGTCTCCCCAGAAGAAATCTGTCAGATGATTTAGCATTTAATAGACCACACAGATTTGAAACAGTGGGACCCTGGAGGAAAGGGGTTTGGAAACAAAGGGTGCCTTTGCATGTGGGGATTTTAATTTTGATGAAAAAGAGAAACATGTCTTTTGGCTCTTTTCATGTGTCCTAATAGGGAAACTCTTGGGTCTAAATGTAGAGGTACAGGAGCTGTGTTCATCTCCAGCAAAAAAAACAGAGCTGGCCTGTTGAGCCTGGGAACAGGGTTTGCATCTGCCTGAAATTTATGAGCAAGCACAGCCCATTTTTCCTGTACTTCTTCATCTCAAAGAAAACTTATTAACAACCAAGGAGAAGGTGTAGTTCATCTCTGTTGCAGGATCTCCCTGGAATACTCTTCTAGCCACCTTTTGTTTTTGCAGTAAAAGGAGGAATGAGCATTGAATGAAGACGAGGATGAAGACTGACCATCTAAAACATCTGTTAGTGATAGTTTGGGTTTTATTTTGGGAAAATTCAGTGTTTTCACAAAAACCAAATGGTTTTGTGGGTCTGGCGCTGGACTGAGTGTTGGGAATGTGGATTCTGGTCTCTGTTTTGTCATTAACAGAGTGCCCAGTTTTGGGAGCATCCCTTACATCTACTGTCTGCCTCGTATTTACTGCCTGAAATAGAGGATTACTTCTGTTTGCTTTCAAGGGATATTATAATTTAATTTTTATTTTATTTATTGTTGGAGACAAGGTCTTCTTCTGTTGCCCAAACTGGAGTGCACTGGTGCAATTATAGCTCACGGCAGCCTCGACCTCCTGGCCTTAAGGGATCCTCCCGCCTCAGCCTCATAAAGTGCTTGGATAATAGGCACGAGCCACTGTTCCTGGCTAATTTAATATTTTGGAATAATTGTAGACATCATGAAGAAAATCAATGTTTATTTATTTATTGCCTTTTTTGAGATGGAGTCTCGCTTTTGCCTACCAGGCTGGAGTGCAATGGTGTGATCTCAACTCACTGCAACCTCCACCTCTGGGTTCAAGTGATTCTCCTGCATCAGACTCCCAAGTGGCTGGGATTACAGGTGCCTGCCACAATGCCCAGCCCATTTTTGTATTTTTAGTAGAGATGGGGTTTCACCATGTTGGTCAGACTAGTCTCAAACTCCTGACCTCAGGTGATCCACCCACCTTGGCCTCCCAAAGTGCTGGGATTCCAGGCATGAGCCACTGCGCCTGTCCTGATTACTTGTTTTAAATATAGGCCTGATTAGGCTTGTGACCACTCTGTTTGGCTTCACTGAAGGGCTTCCAAGAGATGGACTTTTGAGAGTGACACTGCAAGATAATTGAGATCCTAAGTAAGGCTGTGAGAGGGTGCGGAGAGGAATCCAGATGAGCTTGCTGCTGTCAAATGGCAATGGGGAGCTACACTGAGTAACTCAAAACAGAGTGACCTCAAGTGATCTGCCCTGCCTTGGCCTCCCAAAGTGCTGGGATTACAGGTGTGAACCACTGTGCCTGGTCCTCCTTTCCTTCTTTCTTTCTTCCTCTTTCCTTCCCCCTCCCCTCTCCTCCATTCCTTTCCCCTCCCCTCTTTCATCCCCCCTCCCTTTTTCCTTCCTTGCTTCTTTCCTTCCTTCCTTCCTCAGGGTCTTGCTCTCTCACCTAGGCTGGAGTGCAGTGGCATGATCACTGCACCATGACTTTCAGGCTCAAGTGATCCTCCTGCCCCAGCCTCCCAGGTAGCTGAGACTACAGGTGCATGCCACCGTGTCTGGCTAATTTAAATTTTTTTTTTTTTTTTTTTTTTGAGGCAGAGTCGTAGTCTTTTGCCCAGGCTGGAGTGCAGTGGTGTGATCCTGTCTTACTGCAACCTCCGCCTCTCGAATTCAAGTGATTCTCCTGCCTCAGCCTCCTGAGTAGCTGGGATTACAGGCATGCACTACCACACCTGGCTAATTTTGTATTTTTAGTAGAGACGGGGTTTCACCATGTTAGCCAGGCTGATCTCAAACTTCTGACCTCAGGTGATTTGCCCGCCTTGGCCTCCCAAAGTGCTGGGATTACAGGCGTGAGCCACTGTGCCTGGTCCTTCTTTCCTTCTTTCTTTCTTCCTCCTTCCTTCCCCCTCCCCTCTTTCATCCCCCCCCTTTTAAATTCCTTGCTTCTTTCCTTTCTTCCTTCCTCAGGGTCTTGCTGTCTCACCTAGGCTGGAGTGCAGCGGCATGATCACTGCACCATGACTTTCAGGCTCAAGTGATCCTCCTGCCCCAGCCTCCCAAGTAGCTGAGACTACAGGTGCATGCCACCATGTCTGGCTAATTTAATTTTTTTTTTTTTTTGAGACAGAGTCGTAGTCTTTTGTCCAGGCTGGAGTGCAGTGGTGTGATCCTGTCTTACTGCAACCTCCGCCTCTCGAATTCAAGTGGTTCTCCTGCCTCAGCCTCCTGAGTAGCTGGGATTACAGGCATGCACTACCACACCTGGCTAATTTTGTATTTTTAGTAGAGACGGGGTTTCACCATGTTAGCCAGGCTGATCTCAAACTTCTGACCTCAGGTGATTTGCCCGCCTTGGCCTCCCAAAGTGCTGGGATTACAGGCGTGAGCCTCCGTGCCTGGCCTAATTTTTAATTTTTTTTTTTTGTAGTGACAAAGTCCCACTATATTGCCCAGGCTGGTCTCAAATTCCTGGCCTCAAGCAATTCTCCCACTTTGTCCTCCCAAAGTGCTGGGATTATAGGCATGAGCCACCATGCCCAACCTAGTGTTGTAAAAGTTCCATATCCATCAAATTGCCAAATGGTGGAGGACTTTGCTGTATCCTCTCCCTTTCCCCACTGTGGTATGCTTGGCTCAGTGGGAGGAGGGGCTGGAGTTGGGTGGGAAAGTACATGAGGCATTGGAATCAGATAACTCTGGGTCTGTATTCCACACATGCCACCTGTGAGTGGCTGAGCTGGGCTTCTGGCCAACACTCAAAGGCCACATTCCTATTTATAGATGTTCCTTTCACCTTGCTGAAGATGGGGAGAGCTGCACCAGACCACCTCTCAGGGTTTCCTAATGCAAATCCTTGAACCCTGCAGAAGTAAGCATCCAGAGAGGTGGGAGCTACTCGTATACACACTGTCTGTGCCCTCCTCATCTCCCGCTCCTGCAGCATGAAACAGCTGTAATGCTTTGTTATGTTTATTGTCTCCCTTTCTCATTAGACCTGAGCTCTGGGATATTGTGGCCTTAAGTACTTCTGAAAATTTGTATGGCATCTGCTGGGTGAATTTTCCTAGGGTGCTGGGCTGGTTGTTAGGACAGCCTGGGTGACTGGCCTCATTCATGGCAGGGGCAGCAGGTGGAGAGTGGTCCCGGAAGGATTTGAGGAGCTGCACGGAGTCAGGCCCAGCCCCTGGCCCCCTGATTGTCACCTTTCTCAGGATCTGGGATGTTAATTCAGAAACTCTTGACTGCTGGAGGCTGTGATTGACCCACTGAGAGCTTTTAGGCATGTGGATGTGAGTCAGCCAGGATTGATGGAGCATTGACTGCTAATTGGACTCCTCTGGGAAGGTAGAGGGGGGCAACACATAATGCCTTCGCTGTGGGAGCTTCATCAAGGGGATGATTCTTGGAAGGACATCTTTTCCTCCCTCTTTCCACAGGGGCATGCTAGCCCTGTCATTCTAGGAGTTTATTATCCTTCAGACACAGCTACTTATGTTTTTAATTCCCTCACAGAATGAAGACATGAAGAGAAAGTTTCAAGATCTTCTGTCTGAGGAAAATGAATCCACAGCTCTATCTCAGGTTCTAGCCCAGGTATTCGTATTCCTGATGATCACTAAATATAGTCTGGGCTTAAGGAGCTGATTAGCAAAGATGATGAAATTCAAGATTTTCCTGAGTAGCAATTGCTTAACATTGTTTCAGTTATAATGTAGTAGAAACTCTGTTTGAACTTGATTCACTCCAGCACCCTTAGATTTAAAATTGCAGGATATGTTTAATATCTAACACATAATAGACAGATAAGCACAGCTAGGGATTGTCATCCAAAAGGTCACCTGCAAGGCAATTTCAAAAGACTCTATTAGAGGCTCAAATATAAATTTGTTGGAAAATTAAAATTTGGGTCAGTAGTTGATTCCTTGATTACAATTTTGTTCTTTAAAGTTCTTTGTGAGTATAAGTTAATTCCAGTCCTGCTTTTTTGTTGTTGTTGTTGTTGTTGAATGGTAGCTGTCCTTTTTCCCACTGTTTTCTCCCCCCCCCGATTTTTATTTTCTTGAGACAGACTCTTAGTCTGTCACTCAGGCCAGAGTGCAGTGGTGCAATCTCAGCTCACTGCAACCTCTGCCTCCTGGGTTCAAGCAGTTCTCCTGCCTCAGTCTCCTGAGTGTCTGGGACTACAGGTGTCTGCCACTGTGCCCAGTTAATTTTTGTATTTTTAGGTGAGATGGGGTTTTGCCATGTTGGTCAGGCTTGTCTCGAACTTTTGACCTGAAGTGACCTACCCACCTCGGCTTCCCAAAGTGCTTGGATTACAGGTGTGAGTCACCACACCCAGCCTTCCTCCCAATTTTGTATATGGGAAAACAACTAAGGCACAAAGGTTGTCTTCCCGCAAAAGACCAAGACTTGGGGCTTCAACTGAGAGGTATTGTAGTCCTTTTAAACTTGATATTTAGAAGAGGATGATCAAGAGGAAGTTGGTTATGCTACTTGCTTTCAGTATACATCATTCAGAGGTCAGAAGCCATAAGGGAGAGAAATATCCATTAGATAAGCATGTCTGAGTTGTGGGCTGTGATGAGGACTCAGTTGTCAATGATGAAAACCAGTAATTTTTGGTACTAGAATTTCACATCAAATGCCCCCACTTTACTGGAAGTACATTGAGGAACTTTGATAATCTTAAAGAAGCCAGTGATTTTCTTTTGAATATTTCTCCATTTTCCTTTATTTTCAGCCTTCTACTAGTCAAAAGCGGCCTCGTGAAGGGGAAGCCGAGGGTGCCGAGACCACAAAGCGCCTGGCTGTGTGTGCTGCTGTGTTGTGAACTCCGTGGTTTGAACATGAAAGAAATGTACCTTCTTTCACTCTGTCATCTTTCTTTTCTTTGAGTCTGTTTTTTTATAGTTTGTATATTAATTATGGAAATAATTGTTTTTTCACAGTCACTGATGTACAATAAAAAACCTGATGGAACCTGGGCTTTGTGCTTCTGCTTGATAATCGGTTCTTTAGTTGAATGGCTTTATTATTTATTTATTTGAGACGGAGTCTCACTCTGTTGCCCAGCCTGAAGTGTAGTGGTGCAAGCTTGGCTCACTGCAACCTCTGCTTCCCAGGTTCAAGCGATTCTCGTGCCTCAGCCTCCTGAGTAGCTGGGATTACAGGTATGCGCCACCATGCCAAGCTAATTTTTATATTTTTTTGTAGAGACAGGGTTTTGCCACGTTGGCCAGCCTGGTCTTGAACTTCTGACCTCAGGTGATCCGCCTGCCTCGGTCTCTTAAAGTGCTGGGATTACACACGTGAGCCACTATGCCTAGCCTGAATGGTTTTTTTATATTTAAAGTTGTTGTGTGCCTTTCATCTGGAGCTACACCTTGGCTATCACTAGGCAGGTTTCCCAGGATGTCACCCTGGTCTCAGCCTGTGAGAGCTGAATGCAAATTCTAAGGGCCCCTTGGAAAGTTCCAGGGAAAGGAGCATAGCGAGGTTGGGGGTGGAGTTTGTAGAGACTGGCTGGCTGGCTGCTGACATCTTCATGAGAACAGCAGGTACCTTGGTGCATAATAACAGGCCAGGTTATATTCTCATCCTTGCCCTCATAAAGATACAGGTCTACAGTCTCTGAAACCTTTGGGCTAGATAAGTTGTGAAATTTAATTACCCAATTTTCGGAAGGTGGTAAGGCATATCTACTATGTGTATGTGTAGCACCCCAGTGGAGTCCTACACATGTGGAGTCCTACCCCAGTGGAGACCAAACATGTTAATATTTCCACAGCAAATATTCACAGTAAGAGGGATAGAGAAAGATTATAGGTAGTTGCATATTGATTCATATCAGTCTTTTCTTCCAAATGAGCTACAATGACTCATTTTTGAGAGCTGTTTGGGTTTTTGAAGTGGAGATAAGGCACGGTTATGTCTTGATGACCCAATAATGACCGGGGAGGCCCTGTGCAAAGACTTACCCTTGGCTGCTCTTGTCCTCACAGTGATTCTATGAGGTCCTCTAGCCACTGTCATGTCACAGGTGAGGAAACCAAAGTTGGAGGATGAAGGTAACTTTTCTGATGTCGCGCAGCTGGTAAATGGCAGAGCTGGGACCCAACCCAGGTCTTTTTGACTCTAAAGCTAATGTTCCTTATTGTCCACTGAATCTGCTTTTATAACTTTGCTTGGTCGATGCTAGGACACTTTGTAGCTCACTGGCCATGCCATGAATTGAGTGCCGTGGTTCAAAGGCCACTGGTGATTCAGTCAAGGCAGGCTCGAGGGCACACAGCCATTTCCTTAGGAAATGGGGATGGTGGTTGAAAATTTCTATTAAAGGGTATATAAGCATTCTGAGACTTGGCTGGCCAGGTGTAGGGGGTTTGTTGGGAATTTAGGTGGTTTGCATGTTTAAAGGAATAAGACTGAGATTGCCAATTAGATGGGTTTTAGCTCATTTGAATATTTAATGTGGAGGCTGTGGTTTCCTGGGACATTTTTCCCACTGTGGAGAGTTAGCCAGCTTTTCTCTGTTGCTTTTTTCTTTTTTCTTTTTTTAATCGAGATGAAGGTGACAATCATCTTATGCTTGTCACCCAGGCTGGAGTGCAATGGTGCAATCTCAGCTCACTGCAACCTACGCCTCCTGGGTTCAAGCGATTCTCCTGACTCAGCCTCCTGAGTAGCTGGGATTACAGCCACCTGCCACCATGCCCAGCTAATTTTTGTATTTTTAGTAGAGATGGGTTTTCACCATGTTGGTCAGACTGGTCTTGAACCCCTGACCTCAGGCAATCCACCCACCTCCCTCCCAAAGTACTGGGATTAGAGGCATGAGCTACCATGCCCGGCCGCCCTTCTCTGTTTCCAGAGCATTTTGTATTAACTCCCTCTCATGATATCTTCCATGGCAGGCTGAATAATGGCCCCTCCAAAGTGTCCTCAACTTAATCCCCGGAATCTGTGACTATGTTCCTTTCCATGACAAAAGGGACTTTGCAGATGTGATTAAGCATCTTGAGATGGGAACTTATCCTATGTTGCCTGTGGGCCCAGTGTCCCATCACAGTGCTTTTTTTTTTTTTTTTTGAGATGGAGTTTTTTGCTCTTGGTGCCCAGGCTGGAGTGCAATGATGCAATCTCGGATCACTGCAACTCCACCTCCCAAGGTTCAAGCGATTCTCTTGCCTCAGCCTTCCGAGCAGCTGGATTACAGGTGCTCGCCAACATGTCCAGCTAATTTTTGTTTTTCCAGTAGAGATGGGGTTTCACCATGTTGGCCAGGCTAGTCTCGAACTCCTGACCTCGTGATCTGCCCACCTTGGCATCCCAAAGTGCTGGGATTATAGGCGTGAGCCACCACATCCAGCCTACAGTGCTCTTTTAAGAGGGACTCAGCAGTCAGGGGAGATGGCAATGCGATGGTGACTGAGTGTCTTAGTCTTTTTTGTATTGCTATGCAATATCTGAGGCTGGGTAATTTATAAAGAACAGGTTTATTTCTTAGAGTTCTGGAGGCTGGGAAGGTCAAGATCAAGGGGCCTGCTTCTGGTGAGGGTCTTCTTGCTGTGTCATCCCATGATGGAAGGTATCACATCAAGAGAGAAAGGGGGCTGAACTCAATACTTTTATTAGGAACCCATCCCCATGATAATTAACCCTCTGCTGAGATAACATTATTACTCTATTAATGAGGGAAGATCTTTCATGACCTAATCTCCTCTTAAAGGTCCCACCTCTCAACAGTGTTGCATTGGGGATTAAATTTCCAACACATGAACTTTGGGGGACACATTCAAACCATAGCACTGTGCAGAGATTGGAGTGATACGCTTTAAAAATGGAGGAAAGGGCCACAATCCAGGGAATATAGGTAACCACTAAAAGCAGAAAAAGGCAAGAAAACGGGTTTTCCCTTCAGAACCTCCTGAAGGAATCAGTCCTTTACAACTTGACTTTAGCCAAGTGAAACTGATTTGAGGCTTCTGAACTATAGAACAATAAGATATTAAGTCTGTGTTGTTGTAAGCCAATCAGTTCGTGGTAATTTGTTACAGCGGCCATAGAAAACTAACTGACTCACCAATGGGAGAAATCAGCTGCTGATTGAAGGTTACCAAACATCTACTTCCTTTCCTAACGTCACTTTAATTTTATCTTGGAGGAATTCTTTTCCCTACCCCATTAAGTTATGGGAGATGGGGCCAGGCATGGTGGCTTAGCAATCCCAGCACTTTGGGAGGCTGAGGCGGGTGGATCACTTGAGGTCTGGAGTTTGAGACTAGCCTGGACAACATAGTGAAACCCCATCTTTACTAAAAATACAAAAATTAGCCAGGTGTGGTGGTGGGCACCTGTAATCCCAGCTACTCCAGAGGCTGTGGCATGAGAATTGCTTGAACCTAGGAGGCAGAGGTTGCAGTGAGCTGAGATCGCACCACTGCACTCCAGCTTGTGTGACAGAGTGAGACTCCATCTCAAAAAAAAAAAAAATGTTATGGGAGAGGATGGTAAAGCTAAGTATCTTTTGCACCTACTCCCCAGCCCCACCACTGCAGAAGCTGAAGGGGTTCCTAGAGGCTTCTTCTGCCATGGAGCTGTTCCCACTGGCCCCTAGCTAGAGGTGGGTGTAGGACTTTGAAACATGAACAAATGGAGCTGGGATGGCAATGGCGGGAACAATATTGTGCTAATCTGAACTCTGCACTTCCTAACTTTGGCTCTTGGTAAATTACCTCAAATTGCTGAGCCTTTGTTTCCATATTAATAAAATGGGTGCGGTAAGAGTACCAACCTCTTCTATGCTGTTTGGAGGAGGCAGGTCATAAGGTACCTGGCATGTGGTAGGGGATTCATGAATGTTGGCTTCTATCATTAAGGGTGGGGGAGCCACATAAGTAGCCAGAGGGAGTCATAGAAAGTTCTTGAGCCAGAGAAGTAAGATAATCTTTTCAGCTTTTTGTGCAGCATAAAAGGCGGGTAATTTGCTTGCCTTTGACCAAGGAAATGTGGGACGTGCCAGGCCTGGGGTGAATGGTGGGAACCCAAGTAGAGGGATATTTCTCATTGGCTGAATTAACTGTGATTCCATTTTGCGGAGCAGCCAGGTTGCTTCATGGTGGACCAGCTGCATGCCTACATGATGGTGCCGTGGATAGCTCTTGTTTGTGCCAGCCCTGTATCTGATACCTCTTGTGGTAATTGCATCCCTATTTTTCAGAAGGAAGCATCCCTCCTCCCACTTTCTGGTTTTCCCCATGTCCTTCTGGAGGGGATGACCCCAACTGCTTCCTGAAGGGGCTTCATGAAAGCCAGGTCTGGCCAGGCTGGATGTGGTGATTGGCTCAGGCAGGGCATGTGGCCCAAACGGGTCCAGTGAAAGTCAGTCCTGGGACTTTGGCTGGGACTATTGGGGAACAGCCTCTGCTTTCTTGCGCAGATGTGAGTTAGGAGCTGCTCAGGCCACTATGTGGAAAGAATTGCATGAGAATGAAGTAATCAAAGGGAAGCAAGCACAGAGAGATTAGAGAGACTTATCTTGTATAAGTGCCTGTATCCAGCTATGCCTGAAGTGAGGTACCACCCCAGGCCTTTTCAGTCATGCTATCAGTTTTGTTCCTTTTTTCTGTTTTCCTCTTGGTGGAGTTATTTATTTTTTCCTTGTTACTTGAATAAGAAAAATACGAAACTAGAAGGCTGGGTGCAGTGGCTCACGCCTGTAATCCCAGTACTTTGGAAGGCCAAGGCAGGTGGATCATGAGGTCAGGAGTTTGAGATCAGCCTGACCAACATGGTGAAATCCTGTCTCTACTAAAAATACAAAAAAATTAGCCAGGCGTGGTGGTGCGTGCCTTTAATCCCAGCTACTCAGGAGGCTGAGGCAAGAGAATTGCTTGCATCTGGGAGGCGGAGGTTGCAGTGAGCCGAGATCGTGCCACTGCACTCCAGCCTAGGTGACAGAGCAAGACTCCATCTCAAAAAAAACAAAAACAAAAACAAAAAAACAAAACAAAAAAAAACCAGACTAGTAAATGCAACCATTTACAAATCCCAAGAGACTCTTGAAGATTCTTTTTGTTAGTAGGGAAAACATTCTCCATTTTTCTGCCAACTTTAGGGTTTTCAGAGAAGTTTGGGGGAGAGAAAGGAAAGCAAAGAGGTGGGAAGAAAGAGTCCTTGCAACCCCAAGTTGGGCGAACTCCTCCCAGCTACTTATACCACAGGGTTTTGGGAGCAGAGCCCCTTTCATTAAACTTTCAGGATTCTTGGATGGATAGGGTGGGAATTACACCAGTGAAACTCAGCTTTGTGTGTGCCAGGCATTGGGCCCTGGGATATGCAGTCATGTGTTGTATAATGACATTTTAGTCAATGACAAACCACATGTAAGTCACTGGTACCATAAGACGATTATGGAGCTGAAAAATTCCTATTGCTTAGTGACATAGCCATTGTAATGTTAGGGTAATGCATTTCTGTGTTTCTGGTGATGCTGGTGTAAACAAATCTGTGCTGCCAGTTCTATAAAAGCATAGCATGTACAATTACATACAATATATAATACTTGATAATGAACAACTATGTTACTGGTTTATCTTATGTTTTTGAGACAGAGTCTTGCTCTGTCGCACAGGCTGGAGTGCAGTGGCGCGATCTTGGCTCACTGCAACTTCTGCCTCACAGGTTGAAGCGATTCTTCTGCCTCAGCCTCCTGAGTAGCAGGGAATACAGGCACCCACCACCACGGCCAGCTAATCTTTGTATTTTTAGCAGAGATGGGGTTTCACCACACTGCCCAGGCTGGTCTCAAACTCCTGACCTCAAATGATCTTCCCACCTCAGCCACCTGAAGTGCTGGGATTACCCACATGAGACACTGTGCCCAGCCCTGGTGTATTTAGTGTTTTTCATAATTTTAGAATGTATGTCTTCTACTTACATTAAAAAATAATTAACTATAAAACAGCCTCAGGCAGGTCCTTCAGGAAGTATTCTGGAAGAAGAAGGCATTGTTATCACAGGAGAGGACATCTCCATGCATGTAATTGCCCAGGCGGGAGTGCAGTGGCACGATCTCGGCTCACTGCAACCTCCGCCTCCTAGGTTCAAGCGATTCTCCTGCGTCAGTCTCCTGAGTAGCTGGGATT
Source organism: Homo sapiens (assembly GCF_000001405.40). NCBI lineage: Eukaryota > Metazoa > Chordata > Mammalia > Primates > Hominidae > Homo > Homo sapiens. The sequence goes on from NT_187383.1 coordinate 1,703,520, forward strand.
GCAGGTGCACACCACCATGCCTGGCTAAGTTTTGTATTTTTAGTAGAGATGAGGGTTTCACCACGTTGGCCAGGATGGTCTTGAACTCCTGACCTCAAATGATCTGCCTGCCTCGGCCTCCCAAAGTGCTGGGATTACAGGCGTGAGACACCATGACTGGCAAAATTTTTAAGATACATTTCAGTAAGCTAAGGTGAATTTATTGAAGAAAAGCTTTAAAAAATTTTGGTGTAGCCTAAGCATATGGTGTTTATAAAGTCTACAGTAGTGTACAGTAAGGTCCTATGCCTTCACACTCATTGACTCATCCACAGCATCTTCCAGTCCTGCAAGCTCCTTTCGTGGTAAGTGCCCTATACAGGAGTACCATTTTAAATTCTCTTATACTCTATTCTTATTGTACCTTCTCTATGTTCAGGTACACAAGTACTTACATTGCGTTACAACTGCTTATGGTACATTCAGTAAAGTATCAGGCTGTACAGGTGTGTAGCCTAGGAGCAATAGGCCATACAGCCTAGGTGTTTAGTAGGCTATACAAGGCTATACAAGGTTTGTGTAAATGCACTTTGCTGTTTGCACAATGCTGCAGTCACCTAAGGAGGCATGTCTCAGAACCATCCCGTGATTAAGAGAGGCATGATCGTACAGTCATCATCTCCCTGAAAGCTCAGTCAACCCTGTGCAGTGCTACTGCCACACTCCCCTTTTGCACATGTAGAAATCAAGGATCTTTGGCTCCTCTGAGTGACTTGTTCAAGGTTTCTCAGTTTCCAAGAGATGGAGACGGGACTTGAATTGAGATTTCCCTTTCTTGAGAACCTGTGGTCCTTAACCATTAAAACCACTTAAGAGATCTTCTCTCTTGATCACTACCTACTAAGTGCTAGGCGCGGTGCTGAGGCGTTCTCTTGATTATGATATTGAGTCTTTAGATTTCGGAGAAACAGGCCGAGCGCGCTGGCTCACGCCTGTAATCTCAGCACTTTGGGAGGCCAAGGCGGGAGGATCACGAGGTCAGGAGATGGAGACCATCCTGGCTAACACGGTGAAACCCCACCTCTACTAAAAATACAAAAATCAGCAGGTGGTGGCAGGCACCTGTAGTCTCAGCTGCTCGGGAGGCTGAGGCAGGAGAATGGCGTGAACCCGGGAGGTGGAGCTTGCAGTGAGCCGAGATCGCACCACAGCACTCCAGCCTCGGTGACAGAGCGAGACTGTCTCAAAAAAAAAAAAAAAAAAGATTTAGGAGAAACAAGTTCCGAAGCCCTGACCCTAACACGCAAGTGTTAGTGGAGATGTGGGACTTCAACTCAGCTTCTCCGTTGAGTCGGCTGTCTCCGGGACGCAGGCACCTGCTTGCACACCTCCACGGTGGCGATCCCGCCCCCTTAGTAGCGTCCTTAGCTGGGCACTTCTTGCAGGGAAGCTCCTCTTGGCCCAGACCCTCTTCCTAGGCCCCGCGTGGTGGGGGAAGCGAAAGGGGCAGTGTGGGGAAGTGGCCAAGGGGTCGGGTCCGGGGTGGTCTGCAGAGAGGCAGGCGGCGGTGCCCAGCCGGGAACCACGCGCTCACCCGCGGAGTCGGACGGGCCCGGCGGGGGTGGGCGAGACACTGGGAACAGCGGCCAGCTCCAGAGGGGCGAGGCGGGGCGCGCGGGGAGGGAGGGGGGCGCGGCGAACGCGCGCGTGCGCGGTTCGTGTGTGGGCCCGCGGGGGCGCGCGCGGCTGGGGGGCAGTGAGGGTCGCCTCGGCGGCGAGCAGCACGGCGGGAACATGGCGCCCGGAACTGGCGCGCGCGCCTAGCTGGCGGGACCCTTAGCTCGAGGCGGACGCGGCCCGGACCCGGTGGATGTGGAGCAGTCGCCGCTGCCGGCGCCCAAGCCGACCCCAGGGCCGACCCCCGCAAGGAGCTGAAGGAGGTGGGAGCCCCAGTCGCCGCGGGCGTCGGCGCCGGTGAGTGCGTGAGGGGCTCGGGCCGGGAGACTTTCTTTGTGAAACTCCGGCGGTGGGAGCCAGGCCGGGCCTCAGCGGCTGAGGAGTGCCTGTGAGGCGGAAGGCGTCTGGCAGTCCGGGTTCCATCCCAGCCGCTAGCCGTCAGGCGGCGGGACCTGGTCCGCCGCCTGCCTGCCTCAGTTTCCACGGGAGTGTGTGCGGGTGTGTGAGGGTGTGTATGGGTGTTGGCCTGTGCACACCGGAGGGGGGGTCGGTATACTGTCAGCGCCTAATGCGCGCGGCGCCTCCCCCCTCCCCCCAGTCCCCGTGGGGCGGAACCTGGGGACTGGAGTCCACCGGAGTAGTAGGCGGCACCCGCGGGGAGACAGGTGTCCGCGCAGCCCGGGAGGCTCAGGTGCTACCTTTCCCTGGTGGGGTTTGTGAGGAGTGAGCTCTTCGTTCCCGGAGGCGAGCAAGTCTGTCGGTGGCTCATCACAGAGCGCTGTTTTGGAAAGCGTTCCACCCACCTCAGCTTCGTGCTGTGTTTGGGCCACTAGTCAGGGGGAAGGATGCTGAGCGACATGGACTTTAGAGGTGGGGCCCCCGCTGGACGGGATGGGTCTGGGCTCTCGAGCTTACCCCCACCCTTTCCTCCCAAACCCGTTAGAGCGTAGGAATCATTGGGAGCACCTGATAAAAATGCCACGGATTGTGGCTCACCTAAGCAGGGAAGCCGATTTGGAACTTAAACAAGCTCCCAAGTTGTGATCAGTCGAGCTTGGCAAGCACTGTTTGAGAGAGTAGGCTTCCCGCAAGCAGGAGCCGGTTTTGTGTATACCTCACCATGGCATCTTGGTACCTGGCATGGTGCCTGGCACATGGTAGATGATCAGAAAATATCTGTAGAAAGTCTAAATTATTAGGGAGAGTGCAGCATAGGAGTTCTTGAGACATTTTCAGGAGCTTCTTGAGATTAATATCTGTCAGATTTGTTTTACAGTATATTTTTCTCAGCTCCCAACTTTTGTGATTGTTTTTAATGCCATGTTTTCAGTATGTTCTAGGCAAAAGCAGGGTATATGTTGCTTAGTATACACTATCGACTAGGCCGGTTGTGGTGGCTCACTCCTGTAATCTCAGCACTTTGGGAGGCAGATTGCTTGAGCCCAGGGGCTTGAGGCTGTAGTGAGCCAAGGAGTTAGAGACCAGTGTGGGAAACATAGCGAGGCTCGTCTCCGCAAAAATTAGCTGGGTGTGGTAACGTGCACTTGCAGTCCCAGCTACTCTGGAGACTGAGGTGGGAGGATCGCTTGAGCTCAGGAAGTACAAGTTGCAGTGAGCCAAGGTTGTGCCACTGCATTCCATCCTGGATAACACAGCGAAACCCAGTCTCTTAAATAAGTAAATAAATACATAGATGATTATGTATACTCCAGCTAGGTTAAAATTAATTCTGAATCAAAATTCTAAATTAAAATATGCATGTTTCTTTGTCTTCATCATTTGAGAACACTAGGCTTTTAGGATTTCATTCCGTTGAGGCAGGTAAATATCTACATTTTTGACAAAGCAAATATGAATTACTGTTAATTCAAGAAAGGTGGGAATTTGCTTAAACCTGAGTATTTGTAGTCTCTGTGACTTTTTTAAATTTTAAATTTAAATTTTCTTTTTTTTTTCTATTTTTTTTGAGATGGAGTCTCACTCTGTCGTCCAGGCTGGAGTGCAGTAGCACAATCTCAGGTCACTACAACCTGCACCTCCCGAATTCAAACAATTCCCCTGCCTCAGCCTCTGGTGTAGCTGGCATTACAAGTGTGTGCCACCACGCCCAGCTAATTTATGTATTTTTAGTAGAGAGGAGGTTTCACTGTGTTGCCCAGGCTGGTCCCAAACTCCTTGACCTCAAGTGATCTGCCCACCTTGGCCTCCCAAAGTGCTGGGATTACAGGTGTGAGCCACAGCACCTGGCCTTATTTTTATTTTTTTGAGACAGACTCTCAGTCTGTCGCCCAGGTTGGAGTGCTGTGGCATGATCTCCACTCACTGCAACCTCCACCTCCCAGATTCCAGCGATTCTAATGCCTCAGCCTCCTGAGTAGCTGGGGTTACTAGACCCGGGTAATTTTTGTTGTATTTTTTTCGTAGAGACTGGGTTTCCCTATGTTGACCAGGCTGCTCTGGAACTCCTGGCCTCTAGTGATCCACCTGCCTCGTCCTCCCAAAGTGCTGGAATTACAGGCATGAGCCACTGCCCCCAGCCAATCTTTGTGATATTTTGAAATTGACGTTTATATTTTGTTCAGAGTCAAAGCTAAAATAGAATTGTTTGAAAATTAATATTTCAGGAACTATTTTTTAATTAAGTTGAATTTTATTTTATTAGTTTCATTTCAGTAGGGTTTTAACCTAAAAAATATATATATACATACACACATATATGCGTATATACATATACGCATATATGCGTATATGTGTGTGTATATATATATATGTATATATATATATATATATATATATATTTTTTTTTTTTTTTTTTTTCCTGAGACAGAGTCTTGCTCTGTCACCCAGGGTGGAGTGCAGTGGAATGATCTTGGCCTCACTGCAGCCTCCACCCTCCCGGCTCAAGCAATTCTCCTGCCTCAGCCTCCCAAGTAGCTGGAACTACAGGTGCCCACCACTACACCTGGCTAATTTTTATATTTTTAGAAGAGATGGGGTTTCACCATGTTGTCCAGGCTGGTTTTGAACTCCTGATCTCAAATGATCTGCCCTCCTTGGCCTCCCAAAGTGCTGGGATTACAGGCGTGAGCCCCCGTGCCTGGCCTAAAAAATATTTTTAAAGACAGGATCTAGCTATGTTGCCTCAGCTGGTCTTGAACTCCCAGTCTTGGCCTCAAGTGATCCTTCTTCCTCAGCCTTCTGAATAGCTGGAAGCACAGCTGTGAGCCAGCACACATGGCTTTTTTTTATTTCTAATAAAAAAGTTAATAGAGTTTCTTGTTTCACTGGACAAAATATGCATATATAGGAAGGAAGGACTTTTGGACTTGAGATTGTGCTGAAGAAGAAAAATGGAAAAATTAAGCATTTTAGTCTCAGTGTGTTATTTTTGTAGCTTATACAGATATGTCTTTTTAAAGTGTCTTTAAAAAGCTTTATTGAGATAAAGATAAATGAGATAAATGCACCTACCATGAAATCAACCCCTTGAGTGCAGAATTTTGTGGTTTATAATATGTTCACAGAATCGCACAAACAAGACAGGTATCTAGATACTTTCAGACCATTTTCATCAGTCCACAAGAAATCCCATACCCATTAGCAGTCATCCTTATTCCCTTTTCCCCTAGTCCCTGGCAATAACTAGCTTACTTTCTGTCTCTGAGTTTAGCTGTTCTGGAGGTTTCACAGAATGAAATCTTACTACATATGGTCTTTTGTGATTGACTTATTTCACTTGGCACAGTGTTTTCAAGGTTTATCCATGCTGTAGCGTATATCAGCACTTCACTCTTTTCTAATGCTGAGTAATCTTTTGAATGGATATACCATATTTTATCAGTTCCTCTATTGATAGGCACTTGAGTTTTTTTTCCAATTTTTGGCTATTATGCACAATGCTGCTGTGAACATTTGTGTACAAATTTTAGTGTGGATGTATATTTTCATTTCCCTTGGGTATATCCCTAAGGAATACACTATCCGGGTCATGTGATAATTGTTTGAGACTACAGGCACGTGCCACCACACCTGGCAAATATTTAAAATTTTTTTGTAGATAAAGGGTCTCGCTATTTTGCCCAGGCTGATCTTGAACTCCTGGCCTCAAGAGATCCTCTCACCTCAGCCTCCCAGAAAGTGTTAGCATTACAGATGTGAGTCACTGCACCTATAAAAGGGGCTCATACCTCTTTTTATGTATTTTTTTTTTTGAGACAGGCTTTCACTCTGTTGCCCAGGCTGGAGTGCAGTGGTGGGATCACAGCCCACTGCAGCCTGGACCTCTCTCCATATGATTCTAGCTTTGGGTGTCTTTCCTGTAGTTTCTATTATGTTGTGGTATGTTTCTTCTGTACCCGTTTATTTGAGGATTAATAGCATGAAGGGATATTGAATTTCATCAAATGCTTTTTCAGTTTCAGTTGACATGATCATACTGTTTTTGTCGTTTATTTGGTTGATATGATGTATCACATTGTATGTTGAGTGACCCTTGCATCCCAGGGATACATCCCACTTGATCATGATGAATTATCTTTTTAATGTTTTACTGAATTTGATTCACTGGTATTTCGTTGAGGATTTTTGCATCAATATTCGAGATACTGGCCTGTAGTTTCCTTCTTTGATGCCTTTGTCTGATTTTGGTATCACAGTAATAATGGTCTCATAGAACAAGTTTGGAAGTATTCCCTCCTGTTTTTCAAAATAGTTTGAGTAGGATTTGTACTAGGTCATTAAATTGTTTGGTGTGAAGCCATCAGCAGTGAAGACATCAGTTCCTGGGCTTTTCTTTACTGGGAGACTTTTTCTGATGGCTTCAATCTCATTACTTGTTACCAATCTGTTCTGGTCTTGGATGTTTTCATTGTTCAACCTAAGTAGGTTGTATGCATCTAGGAATTTGCCAATTTCTACTAGGCTTTCCAATTTATTGGCATATAATAGCCAGTTATGATCCTTTGAATTTCTGAAGTATTAGTTGTAATGTCTGCCTTTTTTAATCTGTTGATTTTATTTATTTGAATCTTGTCTCTTTTTTCTTAGTTAGCCTGGTTAAAAGTTTGTCAATTTTGTTTTGCTTTCCAGAAAACCAACTTTTCATTTCATCTTGTGTGTTTTTTCTTTCAATTTTATTTCTGCTATGATCTTATTTATTTTTCTTATTTTTGGTTTAGTTTGTTCTTACTTTACTAGTTATTTAAGATGTATTGTTTATTTGAAGTTTTTCTTTTGTTTGGATGGTAGGCACTTATAGCTGTAAATCTCTGCCTTTGTACTGCTTTCTGCATAACAAGTTTTGGTATACTGTGTTTTCGTTACCCTTTGTTTCATGAAATTTTTGAATTTCTGTCTTAGTATCTTCATTGACCCGCTAGTCATTTATTCAGGTGGGTAGTGTTTAACTTCCATGTGATTGTATTGTTTCCAAAATTACTCTTCTTATTGATATCTAGTTTTATTCCTTTGTAGTCAAAGAAGATGGCCACGGAGATAGCAGCGTGGTCAGAGTGGTGGGAGCTGGTCATCGGCGAGAGCTGCTCCATGTCTGGCTGCTGAGTGCTAGAGCCTGTGGCCCACTGGCTTGCCTCACTATGGTTGGTGGTGGCGGTGACAGAGACTGCAGCACGACCAGAGTGGTAGGACAGGGGCTATCCAGGGCTGCACCTTTCACAGTGTGGGGTGGGTTGGGGGTGCTATCCAGGGTGTCATTGCCTGCATTAGGGGTACTGGTTGGTAGCACTGTACAGGGCTGCACTTCCCATGGCAGGGAGGGTGGGTTATGGGCACTTTCTGGGGCTGCAATGCCCATGGAGGAGGACAGGTTAGGGCACTATCAGGTATACGCTACTGGCGGCATTGGGGGATGGAGGTGGGGGGCGCTATTGAGGGCAGGACTAGCCGTGGAGTGGGGGCGAGTTCAGTGCTATCAGGGGCTGCACTGCTGGCAGTGGTCAGCAGAGTTGGCATCCAAGGAAGGAGTGGTTCTCCTCTCCCTGACTCCACACTCCAGAGGGCGACCCACTCTTGGTCATACTGGAATGCGGCAGGCACGCAGCATTTGCGTGGGAATCCTGAGCACGGCAGAGCCCCCACACCCACCATGGTTCCTGGGCCTGTGCACTCTGGGTCTGTGCCTCAGAGGCTGCCAGGCACCCCTGGGGACACCACGGGGGACAGGGCCCTGTGTGTGGAGGCGTCTGGAACAGGAATTGGCACCTGGGTGCAGAGGGCTGGCTGGGTCTGAATTTTTCTGCTTCTCCTGCTCCCCGAGGAGTGCAGCCCCGGTGGGCCCAATGGTTCCTGTGGAGTGGGGAGCTGGGTGCTGTGGTGTCTCCAGCACCCTCCCCAGACCCCAGTTCCTGGCCAGCTTGGACCAAAAGGAGAGGCTGGACTTTGGAGGGTGGGTGTGAGTGCCTTTGCTGAAACTGGCCCCTGCCACCCAGTGGCCAGCATGACAAGTTGAGGCTCTAACCCTTCCACCCCTCACATCTTCCTCTAGGCTTTTCTGGCTTTGCCCACCCAGCTGCTCCATGCCAGGAGGAGGAGGAGACACCTAGAGCCTGCGACACCACGACTTGCCTCACTGCGGGTGGGTGGCAGCGACAGAGACTGCAGTGCGCCAGAGCGGTAGGAGAGCGGCCGCGCTAGGAGGGCAGGCGGCTGCAGCCAGGGTTGGGGGTCAGGCTTACAGCGATGGACGGGCTGCAGCAGTGGCCAGGTGGTAGGAGCCTTGTAGGGAAGGCTGGTGCATTGGCAATGGGCCTGGCTTTGCCCTGCATTGCCCTGTACCTGCCCTACTGTTACATGGACTGTCTCGGCCCTGTCCTGCTCTGGTCCCATCCTGACCCTGTCTTGGCCCTGTGCTACCCTGTCCCTGCCCTGGTCTTGCCCTGGCACTGGCCCTGCCCTGAACCGGCACTGGCCCTGCCCTGAACCTGCACTGGCCTGACCTTGGCTCTGGCCCTGGCTCTGGCCCTACCCCTTGTCCTGACCCTGGTCATGTCATGGCACTGGCCCTGCCAGTGGTCATGGTCCTACTCCTGTTCTGGCCCTGACCTGGCCTTGGACATGTCCTGGTCTTGCTTTGGCCCATCCCTGCCCTGGCCCTACCATGGGCCTGCCTTTTCTGCCTTCTCCTGGCACTGACCTTGCCCTGTCATGGCCCAGTGGTGCCATTGCCCTGCTTTACCCTGCACTGGTTGTACCTCGGCCCCGCTTGGTGCTGGCCACTCCCTGGACCTGCCCAGACCCTGCCTCGACTTTTGCCCTGCCCTCACTACGGCCTGGCCCTGGCCCTAGCCCTGGTCCTGCCATACCCCTGGCCCTGCCCTTATCCAGGCCCTGCCCCTGCTGCTGCCCTGGCCCTGGCCTGGAACCTGGTCCTGTCAAGGACCTGCCCTGACTCTGCCATGGCCCTGGCCCTGCTCTGCCTTGTTCCTGGCCCTGACCCTCTCCTGGCTCTGCACTGGCCTTTCCCTGGCCCTGAGCTGGCAGTGGTCTGCCCCTGGTCTGGCCATCACCCTGCCCTGCTGTGCTCTGGATGTGTCATCACCCTGCCCTGGCCCTACTCTGCCTTTGACCCTGCCCTGGCCTTACCTTGGCCCTCACCCTAGTCTTCGCTAGGCCCTGCTCTGGAGCTGGCCCTAGCACAGACCTGGCCCTGACCCTGGCCCTGGTCTTTGTCCTGCCATAGCCCTGGCCCTGAAGTGGACTTGGAGGTGTCCTGGCCCCGGCGTAACATGGCTCTGCATTGGCCTGTCCCTGCCCTGCCCCTACCATTGCCTTGCCCTGCTCTGCCCTGTCCCAGTACTGACCCGGCCATGCTATTTCCCTGCCGTACCCTGCCTTGGCTGTGCCCTGGCTCAGTTCTGGCCCTGGGCCCGGCCCTGCCCTGGACATGTTCTGACACTGCCTCAGCCTTGGCACTAGCCTGGCTCTTTCTTGGCATCAGTCCTGCTCTCTCTGTGGACCGGCTCTTGTCCTGTCCTGCACTGGCCATACCATGCCCTGCCCTGCCCTGCCCTGACTCAGCCCTGGCTCAGCCCTGGCCCAGCCTTGGCCTTGGCATTGCCCCTGGTCCTGCCATATTTCTTGCCCTGTCCCTACCCTGGCCTTGGCCCTGACCCTTACCTTGCTCTGGCCCTGCCCTTGCCCTAACACAGCCCCTGGCCCTGTCATGGCCCTGCCCTGGACCTGTCCTGGCCCTGTCCTGGCCCTGGCCTGGCCCTGGCCCTTCCCTGCTTGAGACCTTGCCCTGGTTCTCCTCTGGCCCTGACCCTGAAATGCCTGGCCCTACCCTGGCCTTGCACTGCTCTGGCCCTTGCCCTGACTCTGGTCCTGTCACTGGCCTAGCCCCAGCCCTGTTGCTGGTCTTATCATGGCCCAGACCCTGCCTTGGCCCTGCCCTGACACTGTCCTGGACCCTGGCTGTGCCAAGATCCTGCACTGTCCTTGCCCTTGTTTTGCTCCTGCCCCAAACCTGGTCCTGCCCAGGCCCTGGCCCTGGCCCTCCCCTGGCTGTTCCCTGGCCCTGCCCAGGTCTTGGCACTGGCCTGGCCCTGCCCTGCCTTGGCCCTATGCTTTCCTGGCCCTTCCTTGACGGCCCTGGTCCTGCCTTGGCCCTAGCCTGGCTTTGACCCTGCCCTGGCCCTACCTTGGCCTTCATCCTAGCCTTACCTGGGCACTGTGTTGTACCTGGCCATAGCGCAGACCTGGTTGTGGCCCTGGCCCTGCCATGGCCCTGCCCCAGACCCTAGCCCTGCCAGGTACCTGTCCTGGCCCTGCTCTGGGCCTGGCTTTGTCCCTGGTTCTTAGATGACCCTGGCCCTGCCCCTGCCCTTGTCCTTGCCCTGGCACTGGCCTTGGACATGTCCGTGGTCCTAACCCTGGCCCTGCCCTGGAGCTGCCACTGTCGTGGCCCTGCCCCGGCCCTGGCCCTGCCCCGGCCCCAGCCATAGACCTGCCCTGGCCCTGCCCTCCCTTTGGCCCTGCCCTGACCCCGCCTTGGCCCTAGCACATACCTGGTCCTATCTGTGGCATTGGCCTGGCATTGACCCCTGCTCCTGACCCTACTCCTGCCATGGCCCTTGCCCTGCCAATGACCCTGACAGCCCCGGCCCTGGCCCTGTCTTGGCCCTGGCCCTGAACTGGCCCTGCCCTGACCCCGGCCCTGAATTGGATTTGCAGGTGTCTTGTCCCTGATTTAACCTGGCCCTACCATGGCCCTGTCCCTCTCCTGGCTCTGTCCTGGTCTCATGCTGACCCTGACCCAGACCTTGGCCCTGCCCCAGCCTTGTCCTTGACCTGGCCATGGCCCTGCCTCTGCCCTGGACCAGCGCTGTCACTGGCATGGACCCTGGCCCTGGCCCTTTGCTACTTAAGGCCATACCCTGTCCCAGCCCTGGTCCTGACCCTGTCCTGGCCCTAATTTGGCCTGGCTCTACCCTGGCATGCTATTCTGGCCCTAGCCCTGACCCTGTCCCTGTCCTGGCCCTAGCCCCATTGCTGGTCCTGCCATGGCTCTTATCCTGACATTGCCCTTTCCTGGTCCTGGCCCTGGCCCTGTCCCAGCCCTGTTCTGGCCCTGGTCTGAACCCTGGCCCTGCAATGGACCCTCCTTGGTCCTACCCAGACCCTGGTTCTGGCCCTACCTCTGCCCTGGCTATACCTTTGCCCTGGCCTGGACCCCAGTACTGGTCCTTGTCCTGCCCCAGCCGTGGCCCCGGCCCCGCCCTGCCTGTGCCCTGTTCTATCCTGGGCTGGCCCTGCCATGGCCTGGTCTTGCCATTGGCCTGCCCTAGCCTGCCCTGCTTGTGCCCTAGATCTGCCCCGGCCTTTGCCCCTGTCTTGGTTCCAGCCTTGACTCAGCCCTGGACCTTCCCTGACCTTGCCTCAGCCCTGGCACTACCCTGGCCTTGGCTTGGCATTTGCCCTACTCTCTCTATGGCCTGGCTCTGGTCCTGCCCTGCTCTGCTCTTGTTCTGTCCTGGCACAGCCCTGGCCCTGCCGTATCACTGGCTCTGGTCCTGCCCTTATGCAGGCCTGCCCCTGCCCCTGCCTTGGCTTTGGCCTGGACCTTGGCCGTACAGTGACCCTGCCATGACCCTTTCCTGGCCCTGGCCTGGAACTTGGCCCTGCCAAGGACTCGCCCTGGCTCTGTCATGGCCCTGGCCCTTTCCTGGATTTGGATGTGTCCTGTCCCTTATTTGCCCCGGCCCTTCCCTGGCTCTGCCATACCCCTTCTCTGGGGTAGGGCCAGGGTCAGGACCAGGGTAGGGCCATGGTAAGGCCTGAAGATGGGAAGGGCCGGGGCAGCGGCAGGACCAGGGAAGGGTCAGGGCCAGTGATGTGGTAGGACTAGGGGCAGAGCCGGCACTAGGGCTGAGCCGGGGCAGAGCAGGAGAGATTACATTAGGCTATCACATAAAATTTTTATTTTAGATTTTTAAGATAACTATAGTAGTGGTAATAATGTCTATACTATGTTGTTTGTAATAGTAATAATATTTGCAGTAAATAATCACTAAATTTTAACTAATACTATCTTTGCTTCCAGTAGTGTTCTATGAGTACAATTTTATCAATATGTAAATATGTGAGGCATTGATTCTCACAATAATTCTAGGTGCTAGGTACTTAAAGCATCCCCATTTTCCAAATGTAGGAAACAGGCATAAAGAAGTTAAATACTTGGCCAGATTACTCCTGTAATCCCAGCACTTTGGGAGGCCAAGGCAGGCAAATGGCTTGAGCTCAGGAGTTTGGAACCAGCCTGGGCAACATTGTGAAACCCCATCTCTACTAAAAATGCACAAAAAGAGCTGATTTAAGTTTCTTATAGGATTCTGGTTATAAAACACTGGTCAAACACACAGGGCATGGATAGGGCAGGGCCAGGGACAAGGTCAGGTCAGGAAGGGGCCAGGGCCAAGGCAGGGCCAGAGCTGGACTTGGAGGTGTCCTGGTCTGATTTGCCCTGTCCCAACGTTGGCCCAGCCCTGCTCTGGCACTTCCTGTCATGCCCTGTCCCTGGTCTGAGCATTGGCCCTGGCCCTGTCCTGCTTCTGGCCCTGCCCCAGAGTTGACCAGGCACTGCCATGGCCCAGTCCTGCATTGCCCTGCCCTTTTCTGCCCTGGTGCTGCCATGGCCCTGCTTGGGCCCTAGCTCTGCCTCGACTCTGGACCTGCCCTGACTCTGCTCAGCCCTGGATCTACCCTGACTCTGCCTTGGTGTTGCCCTCCCATCTCTATGGCCTGGCTCTGGCCCTGCCTTGCACAGGCCATGCTCTGCCCTGCATGTCCCAGCCTGGGCCCAGCCCTTGCCCTACCATATTTCTGACCCCACCCGTACCCTTGTTCTGGCCTTGACCCTGCCGTGGCATTCTCCTGGCCCTTCCTTGGTCCTGCCCTGCCCTTCCATGCCCTGGCCTTTCCCTCACCCTGCACTGGTCCTGCCCTGCCCTGGCAGTGCCTTGGCCCTGGCCCTGCCTTCTCCCTGGCCTTGCCCTTTCCCTGCCCTGGCCTGACCCCAGGCCTACCGAGTCCATGAAATGACCCTGGACCTGCCTTGCCATCATCTGTCCTGGCCCTGTATTGTCCCCACCATGCTCTGGTCCAGCGCTTACCCTGGCCCTGTTGCTAGTCCTGCCACTGCTATGGCCCTGCCCTGTTTTTGGCCATGACCTGTGCTACCCTAGCCCTGCCCCGCCTTGGCCTTGGCCCTACCGTGGCCTTTTCCTACCCTGGCCTGGCCGTACACTGGCCATTTCTACCCTGGCCTTGCCCTTCCCTGGTCTTGCCCTGCCCTGGCCTTGCCCTGCCCTGGCCTTGGCTTTGCCTTATCCTGGTCCTGGTTCTGCCCTGGCCCTGCCCTTTCTCTGGATCCTCTCTGGTTCTGCCTTCTCCCTGGCCCTGCCCTTGCTCTGGCCCTGTTCCTGGCTCAGCCTTGACCCTGGCCCTGGCCCTGACAATCCCCAGGCCGCACACTGGCCATGCTTGGCCCTGGCCCCTCCTTTGGCCCTGCCCTGGCCCTGTGCTATCTTAGTACAGGGCCTTGGCCTTGGCCCTGTGCTATCTTAGTCCTGCCCTGGCCCTGAACTTGCCCTGGCCCTACCCTCACCCTACACTGGCCCTGCCCTGGCCCTGCCTTTGGACTGCCCTGGCTCTGGTTCTGCCATGGCCTTGCCCTTGCCCTGGACCCTCCCTGGCCATGTTTTTACTGTGGTCCTTCTCTGGCCTTGCCCTTGCCCTTTCCCCTTTCTGGTCCTGCCATGTTTCTGGCCCTGCCCTGTCCATGTCCTGGACCTGACTCTGGCCCTGGACCTCCCTGTCCCTGCCCTGCCATACCCTGGCCCGTTTCTTGCTCTACACTGACCCTGCCCTGCCTTGGCCCTGTGCTACCCTAGCCCTGCCCTGGCCTTCTGCTGGCCCTGATCCTGCCATGGCCCTGGCCCTGCCCCTGCCATGTCCCTGCCCTGGCCCTGGTTCTGCCCTACTTCTGGCCCTGGCCTTGGTCCTCTTATGTCCCTGGCTGTGACCCTGCCCCTGGTTTTTCTCTGGCCATGACCCTGCCCCGGTTCTGTCCTATCCCTGGCCCTGTCTCAGTTCTGTCCTAGCCCTGGCCTTTCACAGTACTTTATGCTTAGTAAGGGCTCCATAGTGTCTGTGAGTTGAATGTTGTGTTCATAGTATCTGCCAAAACAGAAAGAAAAAAAACAAAATCTGAAGATGAGAAGTTAAAGCTTTGTATATAATATGCCTTGAATTGTAAGTGCTTGTTATTAGTTGTATTACATGTAGGTCATGGTTTTGTACACATAACTCCAAACCATTGATACTGTTAAAAGAATATATGAATATATGAAAGAATATATAAACGTAAGAATGTATGAGTATCTAATGACCTCTCCAAACTAATTTTTATTTTTAGCTCTATTAGATTTTTTCTCAGTGTAACAAATGTTTATTCCTATGTAATTAAGGGCATATTTCCTGTACAGAATATTCATATTACTTAATTGAAAATTATATAATGCAAAAATATAATACTATTTTTAGGCCAGGCATGGTGGCTCATACCTGTAATCCCAACATTTTGAGAGGCCAAGTTTGGAGAATCATTTGAGTCCAGGAGTTGACCAGCCTGGGCAACATATTGAGACCTTTTCTTTATTAAATAAATAAATAAGTAAATAAATAGGATGGGCACTGTGGCTCATATCTGTGATCCCAGCATTTTGGGTTGCGAAGGCAGGAGGATTGCTTGAGCCCAGGAGTTTGAGACCAGCCTGGGCAGCATAGCAAGACTCCATCTCTACAAATAATAAAATATTAACCAGGTGTGGTGGTGCGCACCTGGGGTCCCAGCTACCTGGGAGGCTAAGGTGGGAGGTTTGCTTGAGGCTGCAGTGAACTGTGAATGCACCACTGCATTCCAGCCTAGGCCACAGAACAGGACCTTGTCTACCAATAAATAAGTAAAAATATAAATAAAAATAAGTAAAAAGAAATATAAGTAAATATAAATATAAATACATATAAATATAAAAATGAATACATGAAAACAATTTTTAAATTTAACATCACTGAGGGCATCCTATCCATTTCATTTCATGATTCCATTACATCATTTCACTTAGATGAAGTGATAAGGTTACTTGAGATGAGATGAAATGATGAGATGAAATGATGAAATGATGAGATGAAATGATGAGATGAAATTTTGAGATGAAATGATGAGTAGAAATGATGAGATGAAATGATGAGATAAAATGACAAAATTGAAAAGAAATTGAAAGGAGATGAGATGACATGAAATGAGATGAGGGATGAAATGATGAGATGAAACGAGATGAAATGATGAGAAGAAATGAAATGAAATAATGAAATGAAATGATATGAAATAATGAAATTGAGATGAGATGAGATGATATAATGAGATAAAATGATGAGATGAAATGAGATGAACGATAAGATGAAATGATGAAATAAGATGAGATGATAAGATGAAATGATGAGATGAAATGAGATGAAAAATGAGATGAAATAATGAAATGAGATGAAATCAAATAATGAAAGGAAATTATGAAATGTAATGATGAAATAATGAAATGGCAATGATGAGATGAGAAGAAATGATGAGATGAAATGATGAAATGATGAGATGAGATGAAATGATGAGATGAAATGAGATTAAATGATGAGATTAAATGATGAGATGTGATGAAATGAGATGAAATGATGACATGAAATCAGATGAAATAATGAGATGAAATGATGAGATGAAATGATGAGATGAGATGAAATGAGATGAGATGAAATGTGATGAGATGAAATGACATAATGAAATGAAATAATGAAATGAAATGATGAAATGGAATAATGAAATGGAAATGATGAGATGAGATGCAATGAGTTGAAATGATGAGATGAAATGAGATGAAATGATGAGATGAAAAGATGAGGAGACGAGATGTGATGAAATGATGACATGAAATGACATAAAATGAGATGAAATAAGATGTAATGAATGAAATGAGATGAAATGATGAGATGAGATGAAATGGTGAGATAAAGTGATGATATGAAATGATGATATGAAATGATCAGATGAATGATAAGAGGAGATGATGAGATGAAATGATGAGATGAAATGAAATGAAATGAAATAATGAGATGAATGATATGAAATAATGAAATAAAATGAAATAAAATTGAAATGAGATGAGATGAAATAAGATGAAATGATGAAATAAAATGATGAAATGATGAGATGTGATGAGATGAAATGATGAGATGACATGACATGAAATAATGAAATGAAATAATGAAATGAAATTGAGAAGATACGAGATGAGATGAAATGATGAGATGAAATGATGAAATGATAAGATGAAATGAGTTGATGAGATGATGAGATGAAATGATGAGATGAAATTAGATGAAATGAAATTAGATGAAATGTAATGAGATGAAATGAAATGACATAATGAAATGAAAAAATGAAATGAAATAATGAAATGAGGTGAAATTAAATGAGATGATGAAATTAAGTGATGAAATAATGAAATGGAAATGAAATGGAAATGATGAGATGAGACGAAATGATGAGATGAATGATGAGATGCAATGATGAGATGAAATGATGAGGTGAGATGTAATGATGAGATGTAATGAAATGAGATGAAATGAATGAGATGAAATGAAATAATGAAAGGAAATTGAATTGAGATGAGATGAGATGAAATGATGAGATAAAATGAGATGAAATAAGAAATGATGAGATGAGATGAAATGATGAGATGAAATGAGATTAAATGATGAGATGAGATGTGATGAAATGAGATGAAATGATGACATGATATGATGACATGAAATCAGATGAAATAATGAGATGAAAGATGAAATGATGAGATGAGATGAAATGTGATGAGATGAAATGACATAATGAAATGAAATAATGAAATGAAATGATGAAATGGAATGATGAAATGGAATGATGAAATGGAAATCATGAGATGAGATGCAATGAGTTGAAATGAGATGAAATGATGAGATGAAAAGATGAGATGAGACGAGATGTGATGAAATGATGACATGAAATGACATAAAATGAGATGAAATAAGATGTAATGATGAAATGAGATGAAATGATGAGATGAGATGAAATGAAATGGTGAGATAAAATAATGAGATGAAATGATGAGGTGAATGATGAGATGAAATGAGATAAGAGGAGACGATGAGATGAAATGATGAGATGAAATGATGAGATGAAATGAAATGAAATAATGAAATAATGAGATGAAATGATATGAAATAATGAAATAAAATGAAATTGAAATAAAATTGAAATGAGATGAGATGAAATAATAAGATGAAATGAAATAAAATGATGAAATGATGAGATGTGATGAGATGAAATGATGAGATGACATGACATGAAATAATGAAATGAAATAATGAAATGAAATTGAAATGAGATGAGAAGATATAAGATGAGATGAAATGATGAAATGATAAGATGAAATGAGTTGATGAGATGATGAGATGAAATGATGAGATGAAAAGAGATGAAATGAGATGAAATTAGATGAAATGAAATTAGATGAAATGTAATGAGATGAAATGAAATGACATAATGAAATGAAATAATGAAATGAGGTGAAATTAAATGAGATGATGAAATTAAATGATGAAATGAAATAATGAAATGGAAATGGAAATGATGAGATGAGATGAAATGATGAGATGAATGATGAGATGCAATGATGAGATGAAATGATGAGATGAGATGAGATGTAATGATGAGATGTAATGAAATGAGATGAAATGAATGAGATGAAATGAAATAATGAAGGAAATTGAAATGAGATGAAATGAGATAAAATGAGATGAAATAAGAAATGATGAGATGAAATGATGAAATGCTGAGGTGAGATGAGGTGAAAGGAGATGAAATGAAAGGATGAGATGAAATGATGAGATGAGATGAAATGAGATGAGGTGAGATGAGATGAAATGAGATGAAATGATGAAATGCTGAGGTGAGATGAGGTGAAAGGAGATGAAATGAAAGGATGAGATGAAATGATGAGATGAGATGAAATGAGATGAGGTGAGATGAGATGAAATGAGATGAAATGATGAAATGATGAGATGAAATGAGGTAAGATGAGATGAAATGATGAGATGAGATGAAATGAAATAAAGTGAAATGAAATGAAATAATGAAATTGAGATGAGACGAAATGAGTTAAACTGATGAGATGAAATGATGAGAAGAAATGAGATGAAATGATGAAATGATGAGATATGATGAGATGAAATGATGAGATAAAAATGATGAGATGAAATGAGATGAATTGAAATGAGATGAAATGAAATAATGAAATAATGAAATGAGATGAAATGAGGAAATGATATTGAAATGAAATTGAAAGATGAGATGAGATGAAATGATGAAATGAAGAGATGTGGTGAGATGAAATGATGAGCTGAAATGATGAGACGAAATGAAATGAGATTAAATGAGATGAAAAATGATGAGATGAAATGATGAGATGAAATGAGATGAGATGAATTGAGATGAGATGAGATGAAATAATGAGATTAGGTGAAATAATGAAATGAGATGAAATGAAATAATGAAATTGAAATGAGATGAGAAGAAATGATGAGATGAAATGTTGAAAGGAGGAAATGATGAGATGAGATGAAATGATGAGATGAAATGAATTGAGATGAAATGATGAGATGAAAAATGATATGAAAAATGATGAGATGAAATGAGATGATATGAAGTGACATAATGAAATTAGATGAAATTAAATGAAATAGTGAAATGAAATAATGAAAATGAAATGGAAATGAGATGAGATTTGATGAAATGATGAGATGATATGATGAGATAAAATGAGATGAAATGATGAGATGAAATGATGAAATGAGATGAAATGATGAGGTGAAGTGATGCACTGTCACGTGTGTGTCTATTCTTTTTCCCAACCAACAAAAATTACAATTCATTTTAATTTTATTATTTAAGAATATTCTTAAGAGTTGAAGGAAAAATAATATCTACATTATGGGTTACAATCTAAGTATAAATAATACATAAATATATTAAAACTTACAAAGAATATGTTTTGGAATCAAATATACCATGCTTCTGTGATGACAGTTATTTCATGCTGGTTGTCACAATTTTACATGAAAAACTAATGAAAAAGTGTTTTTAACTGTTTCTAAAAATGTTTCCAAAAGAGTTTTACATTCGAAATATGAAAAAGATGTCTTTGCGTTCCTTAATCTGATGAGATTTTCACACTCTGCACATGATAATTGTTAGATTTTTATTGTGTTGATAAATTGTATATCAAATAAAAAATGTTATTACCTCTTAAATTAGGATTTTTAGGTGATATAGGCAGAAAGGAAGGCAAGTTTTTATAACTTTGTCTAAATGAACTTTCTAAATGCCTGAGTATTAAAAGATAACGTCTATAAATCACAATGTATATATTACTGTATGACCTAGGACCAATCAAAACCGTTACCTCTGATAACATTATATTGTGCCCAATATAAAATAGATATAATAATACCTCAAACATAAATCCAGGCATTGTCATTGAATATCTTAAGAATATGCAGCAAAGGTGCTTTTAAAAATACAAGCTAGTGATTGTACTAAATTTGTAAATTACATAGGATAGTGGGTCATTTTAAGAATATTAGTTATTTCAATCTATAAACGTGGATGTCTTTTTTGTGTTTTCTTTAATTTCTTTCATTAATATTCGTCATTTTTGTTGTAGAAATCTTTTACTTCCTTGGTTAAATTTATTTCTAAGTACATTTTTGTAGCTATTGTAAAAGGAATTGCTTTCTTAATTTCTTGTTTCAGCTAGTTTACTATCAATATATAGAAATGCTACTGATTTTTGTATGTTGATTTATATCCTGCAACTTTATTAATTTCATGTATCACCCTAAGAAGCTTTTGGTAGCATCTTATTTTTTTCCGTGTATAAGATCACATTGTCTTTAAACAAGGACAATTTGACTGTCTCCTTTCCAATTCAGATATCCTGTATTTCTTTCTCTCACCTAATTGTCCTGGCTAAGACTTTCACTATGTGAAATATGATTGGTGAAAATAGGCATCCTTTTCTTGTTACAGTAAAATCTTTTTCTTGTTCACAGTAAAATCTTTCACCTTTTCCACACTCAGTATGATCTTAGCTGTAGATTTGTCCTTTATGTCCTTCTGTGTTAAGGCATATATTTTCTACACTAAATTGTTAAGAGGTTTTTTGTCATGTAAGAATATTTAATTTTGCCAAATGCTTTTATTGTGTTTATTAATTTGATCATATGGTTTTCAGTATATATCCAAAGGAA
This sequence comes from Homo sapiens, assembly GCF_000001405.40. Taxonomy (NCBI): domain Eukaryota; kingdom Metazoa; phylum Chordata; class Mammalia; order Primates; family Hominidae; genus Homo; species Homo sapiens. Next base: position 1,724,082 of record NT_187383.1, read on the forward strand.
AGAAAATCAGTATATCAAAGAGTTACCTGCACCTGCATGTTTATTACAACACTATTCACAATAGCCAAGATATGGAATCAACAAAAGTGTCCATCAACAGATGAATGGATAAAGAAATGTGACATACATATATAATGGAATATTGTTTAGTCATAATAAAGAACAAAATCCTGTTATTTGTGGCAACAAGAATGCAAGTGGAGGGCACTATGTTAGGTGAAATAAGCCTGGCATAGAAACATAAACACCACATAACTACGTGTTCTCACTTATGTATGGAAGCTAAAATTTTTAATCTCGTAGAAGTAGATAGTAGAGTTTTGGTTACCATATCCTGGAAAGAGTAGGAGAAAGAAGAGTATAAGAAAAATGTGGTTAATACATACAAAATTACAGGTGGAGAGAAGGAAGAAGTTCTAGTTCTCTACAGCACTGTTGGGTGACTGTAGTTAACGGGAATTTATTGTGTGTTTTCAAATAACTAAAATAAAAGATTTTGAATATTCTCACTGAAAAGAAATAATACATGATTTAGGTAATGGATGTGATAATGACTGTGACTTGATCTTTATGCATTGCATAAATATATCAAAATATCACTCTGTACCCCATAACATGTACATTTATTATATGTCAAAGTAAATTTAAAAGAGAAAAAATGAGGTAAAGGTAAATGTACAGAATTTAATTACTTTTTCTTCTATAAAACCCAAGAGTCAGTACCAAGAAGAGTCAATTTATTAGTTTTCTAAAATAAAAAAAATCAAAGTCGCCAAAAAAGAGCAATATCCAAGAAAACATTGAAAATGAAACACAACGTTTAGTAAGAATAGAAAACTTGGGCACTGTATCACCCTGTTCCTAGATACCGATTTACTGATAGCAATTTAAATAGAATTTTATTCTATCTAATTCGTTTATACTCCCAGAGTTCGAAATTACATTTTACCTACAATAAATGAGATAACACTTGCAAATTATATGGTACTCTGCCTAACACACGTTAATAACTCAATACATGTTAGCAATAAACTTTTAGTATAGTAGTCAAAGTATTAATTTCTCACATTGCAAAGTTGCTTCAAAGACATGAATACAACCTTTCTAATGACTCCTCGTTCATCAAGATACCTCTTCAAATTATTCTATTTCTTTCATTCAGTGTATTATCTGTGTATACCGATATGATATTACACTCTTTTTTTTTTTTTTTTTTTTTGAGATGGAATCTCATTCTGTTACTGATGCTGGAGTGAGGTGGCATGATCTCGATTCACTGCAACCTCCACCTCCCAGGTTCAAGCGATTCTCCTGTCTCAGCCCCCCAAGTAGCTAGGACTACAGGTGCACACCACCATGCCTGGCTAATTTTTGTATTTTTAGTACAGTCAGAGTTTCACCCTGTTGTCCAGGCTGGTCTCGAACTCCTGACCTCAGGTGATCCACCCACCATGGTCTCCCAAAGTGCTGGGATTACAGGCATAAGCCACCGCACCCAGCCTGATATTGCACTCTTGGATTTTGAACACTGAATATCTTTTTGAGAGATTACACCTCTTTACCTCTTTGTGCTTCAGAAATTATCTTCCTTCAAGTGTTCTAAGAGTCTAATGAAGAATGAAGTCATGTTTTATCACTTTTGTCCTTAAAGATTTCAGACATGCTGAAACTGATTGAAGTATCATTTGCTACCAGATAGATTAATTATCTCTAGTTGTAGGAGTGGATACATCTTTAATGGTATATTTTGGGTTATTGTCTTATTTTTGATGCAGTGTTCTATAAATAATTTATTAAACCTGGCATCCTTGGGTGAGCCTGGATTTTTCAACTTTGGTGTTATATTGTGTTTGCTTTTAAAAACTGCTTTTGAGGCCGGGTATGGTGGCTCTTGCCCATACCCAGCACTTTGGGAGGCCAAGGTGGGCGGATTACCTCAGGTCAGGAGTTCAAGACCAGCCTGGTCAACATGGCAAAACCATGTCTCTACTGAAAACACAAAATTAGCCAGGCATGGTGGTACATGCTTGTAGTCCTAACCACTCAGGAGGCTGAGGCAAGACAATCACCTGAACCTGGGAGGCAAAGGTTGCTAGGTTGCTGTGAGCCAAGTTTGCACCATTGCACTCCAGCCTGGGTGAAAAGAGCAAAACTCTGTCTCAAAAAAAAAAAAAAAAAAAAACCACCAAAAACTGCTTTTGAATGGAGTTGTACATACAATCTTTATGAAAAAAAATATCAAGTGCATAAGTTCATAATAGAAAAACCAATAATACTCCAGGCACAAGTTAGTACTAAAAAAGTTATGTTGAATATTCTCTAATACAACATGCTTTTTCCCTTCATGAACGACTTGTGTTTTACTGAGAAGAGTCATTGTTTATGGTAGACATTAGACTACAGATGAATATGTACTTTAAACACTCTTAGTTGCTTTCGTAATTTTATATCTGCTGCTTTATGCTTCTGTTTATTTTCATTCTTTCCAATGTCCACATTCTAGTAAATTTGAATATTTTAATCCAAGTTTATATACTATTTAATATTGCTTGTATAGTTTAGTATTTTTAAGACTCAAAAAGGTTTACAGAAAGAAGAAAAAGATCAACATGTTATTAATCATTTAAAGATCATTTTAAAATCTTTGACCTTTATATTTTAATGAATAAAATGTTGGTAGTTATTAGTATAAAATAATTTATGTCTTTTGGACTTAGCATCCAGTATTTCTTTTTTAATAAAGAAAATAATTATTCTCTTGCAATATACTACGTTTATCTGGGTTTTGAAAAATGATGTTTCCTAATATGAGAAAGCCATTTACATTTTTAAATCTACAAAGGCAAATGGAATGGTACTAAATTATTTACATAATAATGTTTAGGTGGTGGCCCTTATAACATTCTTTCTATACTTCCTACAGAGTTGGGGATATGCAATCCTAGAATATTTCTGGGAGCTAATCCTTTAGCTTGATGAATGAAACAAGACTTTTAAATAAAATTAAACTTTCAAATTATCCAGGTAATGGGCCTGTCTTTTAATTCAATGGATATGGAGCATAATGAATTATCCCCTGTTCATTGGGTAATAAGTTCTCATTCTTAACTTCTAATACTCAAAATGTCCTTTAATTTTTAATTTTCAATAGTCATATCATTATCCCTAGGTATTTTAGCTTCTATCTTAAATTCTAAAATAATTTTGAAACAGGAGAAAGTATTCTTTATTACTATATGTATTAAACATCATGGTTTTCAAATTTAACTGCAAATGTATCTTTTCATTGCTTCTTGGTGACGCCCTTCACCCTATCCATATTGTCACTACCAAGTGGTGATTACTTTTCAGGTTCACATACTTGTTCTTTAGAAAAATCTTCCCTGTGCCTTATAAAAAATATGATTGTTGGCATTCAAAAGCCAGCGAAGTATACATTATTAGCCTGTTGCCTAACTCATTTCTTTAAGAAACTACACTAATTACCCACATACTTATGTTTTTATTTCCTCATTATTTCTGGAGAAAACAAATACTGCTAACATGATATTTGTAAGAGAGAAAAAAGTCTTTTCTTGAAAAGTGCTGTCATTGTAGTACTAACTTATAGTATCAACTTCTTTATCAACTCCTTATACACTTTTTATTCTGAGAGAAATAAAAAAGCTAAAAGTGAAATGACTTTTTTTACTCTCCATATTATAAGCACCCATCTTGGTAATTTAGGGTCTTTATAGTTAGGGTAAGTTGTGTCATACCGAGGTTACAAAATAATAAGTATTTTGTCTCTTTGGGCCTTTCCTTATTCAGTAATACTGTCAGTTTGGCTTTTTTTCTAGGTCAACTTATTGATCTCAGTATTCTGAAATAATATGTTTACTACCTTTTGATAAGCATTTAAAATATTAGATTTATTGTTACTCTTCTGCCTTCATTGGGCTGGAAGAATAATTGTTTCTCTCACTCCACAAAAGCCAAGTTGCAGAGAAAAACACATAGACATTCAACTGCAAAGCAGAGAAACTTGACTATTTCCTGCAATTTTAAAGTGTATATTGAATAAAACCATCTTTTTATTTTCTTTTTTGCTCACTGGCAAATATTAACAACATCAAGTGTGTTATTATAATGTTATCTAGTTAAAAATCTCAAAAAGTTTTCATAATTACCATTTAAAAATATATAAATAGGTGACCTAATGTTAATTTGTATTGTCTGAGACCATGTCTGTTATTTCACTCTTTAAATTCAGTTAGTCATGCAGAACCTAGCACTTAGTGGATACTCAAAAATTATTTGCTGGATAAAAAAAAGGTTAAACATGTAATATATACAAAATGTACTAGAAAAAATGCACCAAACAATTTTGTTATAGCAGTTTAATGTAGAATATTGCCTTTAAAAGATAATATAGTTTTCAGGTGTCTACAGTGATTTTGTAATATTTGTGCACATATAAAATAATATTTCCAAAAATGTAATCCAGTGAGGAAATATACTTTCTAAATTCTAGATTTATAATTTAGGGTTTAAATTATAAAATCATTAAGACACAAGTGAAATATAGTCAAATATCCCCTTGGAAAAAAATTAAGTGGCCTCTAAAGTGAGGTATTCATATATGTAATTTTACAATCCTCTAGTGATAGAATTAATTAAATACACCACCAAATTGATTAATTCCTACAGTGTTAAAAGAGAAGCACTAATAATGCCAGTGACCATGTAACATGGATTAAGCTACAAGTCATAGAAATGTGATGAGAAGCCTCAGCGCTGTAAAACAGAGGGTGGAGGAAAGCTTTTCCTCTCTCAAATGAGATTTGCCAAGTATACTTCTTGAAGAATAGGAAGTTGAAGTGTTCAGGACTTTTATGACTATTCTACTTTGGCTTAGTTTACATGATTCTTAGTTTATTAGCCTAGAAATGGCCAAGAAAACTTAAGGCTCAATAATTAGTTATAAATATGAAATATCCCCAATTTTTAAGATAAAAACAACTTATAAATGTATTTGTCTGTAAAAATTGTGTATATTTTTACAGAACATCTATTTCTTTCTTTTTTTATTTTTTTATTATACTTTAAATTCTAGGGTACACATGCACAATGTGCAGGTTTGTTGCATATGAATACATGTGCCATGTTGGTGTGCTGCACCCATTAACTCATCATTTATATTAGGCATATCTCCTAATGCTATCCCTCCCCCCTCCCCCCACCCCACAACAGGCCCTGGTGTGTGATGTTCCCCTTCCTGTGTCCAAGTGTTCTCATTGTTCAATTCCCATCTATGAGTGAGAACATGCGGTGTTTGGTTTTTTGTCCTTGTGATAGTTTGCTAAGAATGATGGTTTCCAGCTTCATCCATGTCCCTGCAAAGGATATGAACTCATCATTTTTTATGGCTGCATAGTATTCCATGGTGTATATGTGCCACATTTTCTTAATCCAGTCTATCGTTTTTGGACATTTGGGTTTGTTCCAAGTCTTTGCTATTGTGAGTAGTGCCACAATAAACATACGTGTGCATGTGTCTTTATAGCAGCATGATTTATAATCCTTTGGGTATATACCCAGTAGTGGGATGGCTGGGTCAAATGGTATTTCTAGTTCTAGATCCCTGAGGAATGGCCACACTGTCTTCCACAATGGTTGAACTAGTTTACAGTCCCACCAACAGTGTGAAAGTGTTCCTATTTCTCCACATCCTCGGCAGCACCTGTTGTTTCCTGACTTTTTAATGATCGCCATTCTAACTGGTGTGAGATGGTATCTCATTGTGGTTTTGATTTGCATTTCTCTGATGGGTCTATTTATTTAAAACAAAGGGAGGGAAGTCTCATTTACATTCGTTTTTTTCATAGCCTTTTGAACTTTGCAATTTCTATGTTTCAGAACCTATTTCTTACAGTTTTTCTATGCTAAACTCTGTCCTGGTCAGTTCTAGAGTGTATGAAGAACCAAATGATGTAACTGTATGCGACCTGGCTGTAGTGGAACAAATTTGACTCTTAAGTATGCAGGCTCTAATTTTCCTGTCTGGTTTTGGTAAGTATTCCTTACACAGGTTTTTTTCTTTGAAAATCTGGGATTGAGAGGTTGATGAATGAAAATTAATCCTTTCACTTTGTTGTGTATAGGTTTGCAATAATTAGGTCAGAGTGGAGTTTTAAGGTCATGGAGGGGGCTGATGACTTACAAATAATGGCCTCTGATTGGGCAACTACTCATCTGAGTTCCTTCCACTTGACCTAATTAAGCTTGTGAAATTTACACTAAGCCATGAGTTCATCTTTAAAAAGTTTTATTAAAAGATTTTCAGCTGTTCCAAATAGGACTTATTGGTGGAATGTGTTTTAAAGGATCATATCAGATGAATGAAAGGTATTTGATCCTTTGTTTCCTTAATAATAAAATGATGGTTTGGAAAAATAGGCTAGAGTCTAACCACAGTGCTATTATTAAGGCTTTCTTGTTAAACATAGGTCTAAGCCTAAGTATGTCAATACAACAAATACTTAGTGTTTCATTTCTAGTAATAAAAAAATAAAGTCTTTCTGGCATAAGGATGATTTTCATCTGGTTATTTTGAAACATTTTTGTAAAATAAATTTCCATCTATAAAGAACATTTTTAATTTGTAAGGAGGGGTATGTCTCTGTGCACTGGAAGAGAGGGAGGACTAAATCACTGGGAAGTCTTATGATAAAGAAGCCATTGGCTTAAATCAGCAAAGCAAGCCATCCTTTGGTTTAAGGTGTTTTTCCTGGCCATCCTGTCTTGACTAGAACTTTACCTACACCTTCCTTTTTGGTTTAGGCAAATTATCATATCTCAACCTGAAGTCTCAGCTCTGTGTCTTTGAGATATAAATGTTCTACCACGTCTTCTCTGGAACCTGATAACTATCTATCTCTTTAAAATGCAAGTCTAGGGAGATGACTCATCAGAAAAAGAAGAAAAAAGAGGTATTTGGAAATTGTGCAAATTAAAGCAGCCCCTGATGCCAAAGTCTACACATTCCTGAGTGAGTCAGTTCTGGCCAGTTCTAGCTGGATCAAGAGAGCTCTGCTGGGCAAGCCTGAAGAGCACCTGGATGGCAGACACCTGAGGAGCCAGGTGCCTGAAACTTCCTCCACCTGGTTGAGGAGCGCTAAAGCCCAGGTGCTGGCTGGACAACCCCTTCTGGTTGCCTAAGCAGGTGGCAGAAGAAGGAAACAAGGTCAGAGGCAGAGTGTTGAACCCTGCCTCCCAGGTGGGTGGAAGATGCCTGTCGCCAAACTAGGGCCCAGCTTGCCGGGTGAGATGGGTGAACTGGTGATCCCCCGAGAGAGTGGACGTCAGAACTACATGGTCCTGGACCTCACCTCGGCCAGCGAAGGAGAGAGAGGGTTAATGTTAACTGCACGAGGCCCACTCTAGCCTTAAATTCTGAAATTCAAACCCTTCCCTTGGAGACAAAACAAACATGACAAGGAATTCTGACATCAGGGGACAAGAATCACAAGTTCCCTAGTGGGAGACTGAGGAGGCAGTGTCCTTCCTGCCCTTGGTCTACTGGCTAAGAACCTTCCTCAGCCTGACCTTTCCACATTGCACTTCCAGCTCTGTTTGCAATTTTCCTCCTTTAGTGCTGAGGGAATCCCAGTGTTCGATCCTGAAATCTATAGGTTCCTAATGGGTGGTTAAAAAAAACCTCAGCGAGAGAAGCAGAAAATGTTTCCTCTTCCTGAAAAACTGTAGAAAGGCAGGCACCATTCTGGGTGAGGACATGGTCCTTGCAAATGTCTTTGTGTTTTGTTTTGTTTTTTTATTTTGAGATGAAGTTTTGCTCTTGTTGCCCAGACTGGAGTGCAGTGGTGTGACCTCTGCTCATTGCAACCTCCGCCTCCTGGGTTCAAGCAATTCTCCTACCTCAGCCTCCTGAGTAGCTGGAATTACAGGCACCTGACACCACACCTGGCTAATTTTTTGTATTTTTAGTAGAGATGGGGTTTTGCCATGTTGGCCATGTTGGTCTCTTAACTCCTGACCTCAAGTGAGCCACCCGCTTCTGCCTCCCAAAGTGCTGGGATTACAGGAGTGAGCCACCGTGTCCCACTGTGAGTGAGTGAGCCACGGCAAAAGTCTTTAAAGACAGCATGTTTCAGAGGCTGTGACGGTGCCCTGTGAACATGCCAAATCTCGCAGTCCCGGGAGCTCTGAGGAGCAGGCCCAGCTCCTTGCCAGGCTGATGGTACTGAAACTCTGCTCTCCAAGACATAACCTGATGGCCGTGCAAGATTTCTTAATTGACTGTGGACCGTGAGAGTCTGCATCTCATTTTAATTAAGACAGGAAAAGAAAGAACAAAAGAGCAACTCCCAGGTTATAGAGAGACTGGATTTTAGTATAATATTCAAGTGTAGCATTGCTAATAATAACAAACCTTTCCCCTCCCAAACGGTAAACACTTGCACTGCCTATTATACAAAAATTCAGCCATCCTCTCTGTTCCCCCGATATCTCCTCCCCAGTGACCCCCCTCTCATGCGGCCTCATGAGCCTGGCCAGTGGTGAATGGCGCTTTCATGGGCATGAGACTCCACGTGAGTGGGACTCAGCTGGGACCCCTCTCCACGTGGGAGCTGGAGAAGCCACCCTAGTACCAGCTTAAAGTGTCCGTGATGTCCCTGCTGCTGAGGTAGGGGCCGCCTCTGAGCTGGTCTCGGGGTGTGAGCTGCTGCTGGTAGTGGGCTCTGCCCTGAGGGCCTGGTGGCTGGTCGGAAGGGCAGGCACACATGGGTGACTCCCCAGGATCTCAGGCCACCTCCCCACCACAGTCCTGCACTGTGTGTTCCAGGCATGTGCTGAGTGCCTGGTCAATCACCAGTGCCCTATTGATCCCCGTCTCCAGAGAGATCATTTAGCGTCACTCCACAGAGGGGGAAACTGAGGCCCAGAGAAGTAAGGTGACTCTCCCCAGTCACAGGTCTGGTCAGGAGTAGGATGGGAGGCTAGTCCCTTGCTGTCTGACTCCCTGAGCCCACCCATATCCCAAGGCAGCCAACCTCTGCCCGCCCTGGCTCAGGCCCCGACTGGCCCCTGTGGTGGGTGATGTCTATCTTCCTGGCCTTTGTGCTCCCAGCCAACTGGGATGGAGCCTCCAGCTGGCATGATAGGTTGTAGCTACGGACAGAAGAGTGGCTGTGAGGCTGCCAGGAATCTCACCAGGGCCCCCTCCCAGGGCCTGTCCAGAGTGAGGTCTGGGTACCCCAGGCATTGCCAGACCACAGGATCTGATGTTGGCCAAGAGGCTATGGCCACAGGCTTTCTGAGGCTGGCCCCCAGGGAGAGTTCAATCCTACTGTCCCAATTCCTGCCCTGGCCTTACCTCTCAGTCTCACCGAGTCGCTTCATGGTCCCAAACCAGGACCCAAAGTGCTGCTTGGGCTTAAGGTTGTAATTATTTGCAGCCAACTGGAGCAGCGGACCTCCTTGCTTACTTTGAATTCCTGGGTCCAGAGGGAAAAACTGGGTGGTGACAGGGACTGGACAGGGATGCCACAGGGGCCCTGTGGGGGTGTTAGGTGGGGTGGTGGCCAGTCTTTGCTCATAGGGGACCCCCTCCTCCTCTCCAGTCCTGTCCCCACCTGTTCTCAGAGCTGGCTCAAGCAGCAGCTCCTCCAGGAAGGTGTCCTTGGTTTCAACCTGGTACTCCCACCTGCAGGTCTTCCTGGAGTGTCTCCTCTTTGTCTGTCTCCCCATAAATCTAAGACGAGGGGGATGGATTTGCCCACGGCTACTCACCGTATGACTCTTGTGCGGTTGATCTGTCTCCCATGCAAGGCCAACAGCTGAAGTCCATCAGAAAGGGTCCTCTGGCCCAGAGCCAGCCCCTGCCCACCCCTGTCATGCTGCACCCAGGGTGCAAGACCCAGATCAGGTCTGGGTGACAGGAGGGGTATAGAGGGGCTGAGGCTCAGGGGCCTTCTAGCCTAACTTGTCTGGAGACAGTTGGGGAAACTGAGACCCCAAGCAGGGAGGTATGGCTCCGAGAGATTATTCTCATTAACCTGGAACACTTTTGCAAGCTGTTAGGTGTAGGAAGTCTGTCACAGGTAAGAGGAATGCTTTTTGAGAGCATGAGAGACAGCAGGGTTGTGACAATATTGAAACACCACTGTGCAGATTCACCAATTGCCACCACCAGGAGCCCCCTGAGAGTCATTGCAGATGCACAGCCCTCCCCTGCAACCCCTGGACCTCCCCATGGTCTGGCACCTAAAGAGTTATGACTCATGGCAGGAATCAGGGCCCTCAGGATGCCCTGCCCACTCCAAGGTTTGCCTCTGCTCTGATTGGTCACTGCCATTCAGATTGTCACCCAAATATAAGGACGTTAGCAGAAAGACTCATTCAATACAAGTGGACTCAGACATAGATAGGATTTGGGTTGCAAAAAGCCCCTTTTGTTCTTTTATTTTATTTTGGAAAAAACTGTTATTGTGAAAATTCACACATATATATAGAAAAAAACTCAATCAATGCAAAAGGATAGACAATGAACAAATGAATTCCCCTTCCACTCCAGATCCGCACCTCAGATCCAGACCTCCTGAGCCCACTTCCCCCATCTCATCACAGATCCAGACCTCCTGAGCCCACTTTCCCCATCTCATCACAGATCCAGACCTCCTGAGCCCACTTTCCCCATCTCATCACCAGTGATTTCTTGGGCTCTGCATTAGTTTTCTATTGCTGCTGCAACAAACAGCTACAGACTCAGTGGCTTCCATTTCTGTCTTATAGTTCTGGTTGCCAAAATTCCTAAGAGGATCTCACTGGGCTAAAATCAAGGTGCCAGCGGGGCTATGTCCCTTCTGGAGGCTTAAGGGATGAATCGGCTCCCTGCCTTTTCTAGCTTCTAGGGGCTCCAGCTTCTAGGTTTGTGGCCTTCTTTCTCTATCCTCAAAGCCAGCAACAGCAGGTGAAGTCCTCGCCCATCGTGCATCACTCTCCCTTCTGCCTCCTTCAACTTTTTTTTTTTTTTTGTATTTAGGGGGAACGAGTACAGGATTCTCACATAGTCAAAAAGCTCCTTATAGAGAAGCTCGGAACTTTGAATACAGCTTTGCCTTTTTTGCCATTTTAATTTTCCATTTAATTTAAATGTATTCTCTCATTTGACCTTCATACTCTGTGGAGAAATATTTCTATTTCGGCTTGTATTGACAAGCTGTTTTCACACAGCCCCCGCATCACCCAACCAACCAGCAGAGATCCTCATTCCCATGAAACAGATAAAGAAACTGAGGCCCAGGGAGGCTAAGTCCTGCCAGGATCATTCACCTTCCAAGGTAAGGAGCCATTTCCAGACCTGGGTTTGTGCAGCTCCAAGCTCCCCCGTCTTTCTACAATGCTAGATTTAGACTATAGCAATCTAGCAAGTGTGGCCACACAATGGTCAAGTTGGATTTAGATGATGTTCTCTATAAATCCATTCTCCTCTCCCGTGTAAGCAAGGCAAAGTACTCTAGGCCATGGGGAGTCCCTGAAGACTCGATGAACTGCAGTGGCCACGTCAGGAGGTTGCAGGTTGACCAGAACTCACCGACACAGCAGGAGAGCAGCTTGGAACCTGCAACTCAGCCAAGACCCAGTGCCTTGGATTGAGGGAGAAAACATGCAGCCATTCCTCTCTCTCTCTGTTGGCTAGAGGGGATTCTGGCTTTTCCTGCCAGAGCCACCCCTTTCCCTCCTCCTAAAGTTGATGGTGGTTCTTTAAGGAAAGGGAGAAGTGCACGGTGTGATAGGGCAGGAAGAGAAGAAAACGGAGGAGAGGAGGGGACTTTCCCATAAGCAGGCAGAAGAAAAGGCAGCTGTGGTGTGTGATCGACATGGAAGCAGTGGTGTCCAATGTGGGGTCAGCCCTAGAGGAGAGACAGAGAGAGAGACAGAAAAGTGAGAGAGTCCTGACCCTTACGATTAACATGGGATCTGCCTGCAAGTGCTGTTTAGGGCCATCGCCTCTTCCTGTACTGCTATTTTTGAGAGTGATGCTCCTGAGCCCCATGACCCAGTCAAATTTGATGTCCCCTTGAGCCAGATTCAGTGCTGGGAGTCCAGTGTGATCTGCCTGGATCTTGCTGCATTGAGAACAGGCCAGATCTTGACACCAATACAGGGGGCTGGATATGAACAGGCAACAGCTGGGTTTCTGAGTCAGAAAGACTTGGTTAATTGCTAATTGCTTAGGCGAGTAATTCAATTTTGTTCAGTCAGATTCCTCAGCTATAAAATGCAGATGACAGTACTTATTCCTCCAGGTTGTGGGGAAAATGGAGATTCTGAGCACGATGTCCATTTCACAGAAAGGTACCAATTTGGTGGCTTATTTTCCTTTCTACCTTCAGAAGTGGCTAACCCTGCCACCCAAACAGACCCTTGACTCTCAAGTGGATGGGGTCCCATTTGCACAGGGGGAGAGCTTACAGCCTACGTTGAGTCTATACTTACCACTTAGTGAGCATGGTATCCGCTCAGGGGCCTCTGTGGGCATCCGTCTCCTCTGCGGCATCTTTCCTCCCCACCGCTGGGCCTGCACATGACCCCCTCCTTGGGTTAGGCCTCTGATCAGTGATGACCTTGGTATGGTGGTGATGGTCAGTCTTGGCACCAAATGAGCCAGTTTATATCATCAGCTATTCAATAAAACACTAATCTAGGTGTCACCATGAAAGTATTTTGTGACATTGTTATGTACGTGTTGTTACAAATGTGCATGATGCATTTACTACAGCACAGAATTTTGCCTGGGTGCCAGCCTGAAGTCTGTCCGACAGATCATAGCCATGTTAGTCCCACAGTCACAGGGGCCAATGGATTAAATTATTTTATCTCCCTTGAGAACTAAAAATAAAATCCTAAGCCCCCCACCCGACTTAGCAGACCCCCTTTTGGCCAATGGAACCTCAAATCTTAAAATTCAGTTCTTGGCCATGACAGGACAGGAGGTCAGACATACCTCCCTGTACCTCATTCCCTCTTATGGTTTAGACCCAATGACTGAACAGCATTAATGTTAAAATAGAGATCATGAGACTGACAGAACAGACTCTTTGTGGCAATAAGACCCCAAATTATAAACAGGACCTAGGGCCATGCCAGGCGAGGGTTAAGTCTTGTCCCCTACTCTTAAAGCATAAACTAGATTCTAACTACCACATGGTTTTTATTTTTCTCTAGCAGCCAAGCAAGCACTGGCTGTGACAGAAGCAAGATTAAAACAGTTACAACTCACCCAGTTCACAGATGCTGAGTAACTGATCTCCTGCCCCACCAACCTTAATGACAGCTTTCACTGGACAAGGGACTGATTTCAATAACTTTCTCCTGATAAGAGACCATCCTCCAGGGACTGGTTCTGGCCAGTTTTAGAGGCTGTGCCTTTACAGAGGCTGAGTACCTTCATGTCCCTGCTTCACTTTCTGATGTGTAGGGCCTAATTATAATACATTTAAATGTCAAGTCTCCACCCCAGAATGAACATGCATGTTTATTGAATATGCATCTGTTACGTCCTCTCTTATGAGTATTCTCATAAAATGATATAGCTCCTCTGATATCCTATTGAGTATGTATATGTAGCCAACTCATTCGGCTCAAATTCCTGTCCTCTCCTTCCTCACTGGAAATGCCTGCCTCTGGCCTTGGCTGTAGGCCACACTTCCCAGCCTGTCATAAGGGCCACCTTGCAGGCTGCAAACCTTTATAAGAAATAAAGATCTCTTTTCTAAGTTTATAAAATAGTGTGATTTTTCAGTCAATGCTCTCTTTCTACACACACACACACACACACACAATTTATACAGAAAGAAATCTGGAGAATATATGTGGGAATGGATATTAAGTGTGTGGCACCATGGTGGAAGTAACATAAAGTTGGATTCAGCTAAATTTATTAATGTTGGCCCACTAAACAGAGATTCTGGATTCAGGGTTGTAGGTCAAATCTTTAGAAAGGGCTCCAAGGGTTGGTTTGATCAGTTACTTGGTTGGTTGCTTGGTTGGTTGGTTGGTGCTTGCTTCCTTGCTTGGTTGTTTGGTTGGTTTGTTGCTTGCTTGCTTGTTGGTTGATTAGTTGGCTGTTTGCTTATTTGTTTGGTGTCTTGGTTGGTTGGCTGAAACAGAATCAGAGTTTACCTAAGGTACATAAAGTTGAGATGCCACAACTTCCTTGGTTTATGTGTACAGGAAGGTAGGCAAAAACTCAGGGAGACTGGATTTATTATGTCAGACCTGCTCACTCACACTGGAGGGTCTACGGAACATACTTCTCACAACGATCGTGAGAAAGAATATTGTGAGAGGAGCCCAGTATCCTGGAAGAGCTTTGAGCTTGTGCTCTCAGTAGGCAAAATGTTAACAGCAGGAACTGCAGCCACTGGACTGGGATCTTTAAATAAAATGAGGATAATTGAATCCTGGGGTGGCAGGGAACATGGGCTGTCCTTAATCACCAAAGATGAGGTGGGTGTGGTCACCACAGTGGAAAGCAGTGTCAAAGCAGCAGTCAGAATGGTTTGACTCACAGAAACCCACAGCATTGTGTAGTCCATGGTATCCACAGGGAGAGCTAATGGGCTGTACCAAAGTCTTAGTTGTTCTTTAAAAAATGAAGAATTCTAGGTCAACTGAATAAAAGACTAACTCAAATTAATGAAACACAGATCTAAAACCCTCAATCAATTCCCAGACTTGAGCCAGTTCACAGGCCACAACCCCTTAAGTGAAGGGGAGGCTGGGTGATCTTGGGGAAGTACGCTGCTACATTGCCAAAAATTTACATTGTTAATCTTTTTCCCAGTCTTCCCCAAAGGGACCTACAGCCTTCTATCAGGATGACTGACTTAGAGAAAAGAAAATTCTCAGATATTTGGGGAATTACTGGACACGGGCTCTCATTTAACACTATTATCACTATGTTGCCTATGATGGATTCACGCCCCTGGGTTCCAGCAGTCCTCCTACCTCAGCCTCCCAAAGTGCTGGGATTACAGACATGAGCCACTGTGGCCAGCAGAGCTTTGAAACTAGAACATGGAGGTCCAGTGGTAAAGATTTGACAAGTCTGGGAAGAGATTGGGCCATGGCAATGTGAATGATTCTTTTTGTTTGTTTGTTTGTTTGTTTTTGCAACAGAATCTTGCTCTGTTGTCTAGGCTGGAGTGCAATGGTGCGATCTCGGCTCACTGTAACCTCTGCCTCCAGGGTCCAAGCAATTCTCCTGCCTCAGCCTCCTGAGTAGCTGGGATTACAGGTGCCCACTACCACACCAGGCTAATTTTTTTTTTTTTTTTTTTTGAGACAGAGTCTCACTCTATATCGCCCAGGCTGGAGTGCAGTGGCGCGATCTGGGCTCACTGCAAACCCCGCCTCCCAGGTTAACGCCATTCTCCTGCCTCAGACTCACGAGTAGCTGGGACTACAGGTGCCTGCCACCGTGCCTGGCTAATTTTTTGTGTTTTTAGTAGAGACGGGGTTTCACCGTGTTAGGCAGGATGATCTCGATCTCCTGACCTCATGATCCGCCCACCTCGGCCTCCCAAAGTGCTGGGATTACAGGGATGAGCCACCATGCCCAGCCACACCAAGCTAATTTTTGTATTTTTTTTTTTAGTTGAGACAGAGTTTCACCATATTGGCCAGGCTGGTCCCTGACCTTGTGATCCACCCGCCTCGGCTTCCCAAAGTGCTGCGATGACAGGCATGAGCCACCGCGCCTGGCCAATGTTGATGACTCTAAACAGCAGCCGCTAATGTGAAAACCATCCAACTGGAAGCCCTGGCCTTGCCCAGAGGACACAGTCTGGGTGGTGGGCAGAGACTTCAGCTGCCTTCCAAGGCAAGCAGCTCCCTGCTGCCTGCTTGCTGGGGATTTTACTTACAGGGCAGAAGCTGGCAGGTGATTTGGGGGCAGGAATTGCTTCCTGGATGGTTTAGGATGAACCACACTCCCCAGGAAGGCACTCATCCTGGTGGCCTATCAGAAGCAGCCCTCACCCCAAAAGGCAATGCTGCTCCACTAATTTTATGGGGTGACTCCTTCTTGTAGGTTCCTTCCAGCTTTACCAGAAAAACACAGAACATCTTTCCTGACAGGGCATTGGTTTTGTTTTTGAACAGAGAGATCCTTCTTTTAAAAAGATAGTTTTTTCTTTTCTTTTTTTTTGTAATGGAATCAACCTAGGTCCTAAGCCTAACAGGTTATTATTATTATTTTTATGATTATTTTTTGAGATGGAGTCCCACTCTGTGGCCCAGGCTGGAGGGCAGTGGCACGATCTTGCCTCACTGCAATGTCCACCTCCTGGGTTCAAGGGATTCTCCTGCCTCAACCTACAGAGGAGCCGGGATTACAGTCGTGCACCACCATGCCCGGCTAATTTTTGTACTTTTAGTAGAGATAGGGTTTTGCCGTGTTGGCCAGGCTGATCTCAAACTCCTGACCTCAGGTGATCCACCCACCTCGGCCTCCCAAAGTGCTGAGAACACAGGTGTGAGCTGTCACACCCAGCCACAGGTTATTTTTGCTGATCTTCTCCCTCCTCCCACCCTCCACCCTCAAAGAAAATGCAGTACAGCTACACCATGGAATACTACGCAACCCTGAAAAGGAACAAAATCATGTTTTTTTGTTTTTTTGCAGCAACACGGATGTAGCTGGAGGCCATTATCTTTTTTAATTATTTTTATTATTTTTTATTTTTTCTATTCTACTTTAAGTTCTGGGGTATATGTGCAGAATGTGCAGGGTTGTTACATAGATATACATCTGCCATAGCGGTTTGCTGCACCCATCAACCCGTCATCTACATTAGGTATTTCTCATAATGTTGTCCCTCCCCCAGTCCCCCACCCCTGCAACAGGCCCCAGTGTGTGATGTTCCCCTCTCTGGGTCGATGTGTTCTCATTGTTCACTTCCCACATATGAATGAGAACATGCAGTGTTTGGTTTTCTGTTCCTGTGTCAATTTGCTGAACATGAGGGTTTCCAGCTTCATCCATGTCCCTGCAAAGGACATGAACTCATCCTTTTTCATGGCTGTATAGTATTCCACAGTGTCTATGTGCTTTGTTTGTTTGTTTTGTTTTTTTGAGACCAAGTCTTACTCTGTTGCCCAGGCTGGAGTGCAGTGGCACGATCTTGGCTCACTGCAATCTCTGCCTCCTGGGTTGGAGCAATTCTCCTGCTTCAGCCTCCCAAGTAGCTGGGATTACAGCCATGCACCACCACGCCCGGCCAGTTTTTGTATTTTTAGTAGAGGCGGGGTTTCGCCATGCTGGTCAGGCTGGTCTTGAATTTCTGACCTCAGGTGATCCACCCACCTCGGCCTCCTAGAGTGCTGGGATTACAGGTGTGAGCCATCGCTCCCAGCCAACAGTGTCTATGTGCTACATTTTCTTTATCCAGTCTATCACTGATGAGCATTTGGGTTGGTTCCACATCTTTGCTATTGTGAACAGTGTGGAGGCCATTATCTTAAGTAAATTAACAGAATGCTGCGTGTTCTCACTTATAAGTGGGAGCTAAATGTTGTGTATATGTAGACACAGAGAAGGGAACAGATACTGGGGTCTAGTTAGGGGGAGAGAGGAATGTAGAAGGACAAGAGTTGAAAAAACCAACTGTGGGGTATTATGCTTACTACCTGGGTGATGGGATCACTCATACCCTAGACCTCAGCATCACACATCGTACCCATGTAAGAAACCTGTACATGTACCTCCTGAATCTAAACTGCTCCACCATTTGCACCAGCAATTCCAAGACTGGGCATCTACCCAAAGGAAAAGAAGTCATTCTACCAAAAAGACACATGCATGGTAAAATTCCTTGTTTTTTTTGTTTGTTTGTTTTTTGTTTTTTGTTTTTTGAGATGGAGTCTCGCTCTATTGCCCATGCTGGAGTGCAGTAGCAATCTCGGCTCACTGCAACCTCTGCCTCCTGGGTTCAAGTGATTCTCCTGCCTCAGCCTCCTGAGCAGCTGGGATTACAGACATGTGCCACCATGCCTGGCTAATTTTTGTATTTTTAGTAGAGATAGGGTTTCACCATGTTGATCAGGCTGGTCTTGAACTCCTGACCTCAGGTGATCTGCCCACCTCGGCCCTCCAGAGTGCTGGGATTACAGTGCCCGGCCCTGTAAGGCTCATCACAGCATGACTTACAATAGGAAAGTCATGGAATCAACCCAGTTGCCCATCAGTGGGGTAACGGATAAAGCAAAAGTGGTTCTTCTACAGCATCGAATACTACACAGCCATGAAAAAGAATAAAATCATGTCCTTTGCAGCCACATGGATGTAGCTGGAGGGCATTATGCTTAATGAATTAACACAAGAACAGAAAATCAAATACCACATGTTCTTGACTGGATAAAGCAATTTTGGCCCTTCTACACCATGGAACACTGCACAGCCATGAAAAAGAATAAAATCATGTCTTTGCAGCCACATGGACGCAGCTGAAGGGAATTATGCTTAGTGACTCAATACAAGGAACAGAAAATCAAATACCACATGTTCTTCACTAGATAAAGCAAATGTGGTCCTTCCGCATCATGGAATACTACATAGCCATGAACAAGAATAAAATCATGCCCTTTGCAGCAACATGGATAAAGCTGAAGGGCATTATGCTTAGTGAATTGATGCCAGAAACAGAAAATCAAATACCACATGTTCTCAATTAGATAAAGCAAATGTGGTCCTTCCGCATCATGGAATACTACACAGCCATGAACAAGAATAAAATCATGCCCTTTGCAGTCACATGGATGAAGCTGAAGGGCGCTATGCTTAGTGAATTAACGCCAGGAACAGAAAATCAAACACCACATGTTCTCGCTTATAGGTGGGAGCTAAACATTGCCTGCACCTGGACACAATGAAGGGGCACCACAGACCCTCAGGACTAATAGATCAGGAAGCAGGGGTGGGGGTACAAGGGTTGAAAAATTACCCTGAGATTCTTTGAATTTCAGGCAGAAGGCAGCAACTGGAGAGATCTTTGGGTCATGGATTTTTCTGTTGCATTTTCTTGCTTGTTTGTTTTTTTTCTCTCTCTCTCTCTCTCTCTTTTTTCTTTTCTTTTTTTTTTTTTTTTTTTTTTGAGGTGGAGTCTCGCTCTGTGACCCAGGCTGGAGTGCAGTGGTGCAATCTCGGCTCCCTACAACTTCTGCCTCCTGGATTCAAGCAATTCTTCTACCTCAGCCTCCCAAGTAGCTGGGACTACAGGCACCCGCCACCACACCTGGCTAATTTTTGTATTTTTAGCAGAGACGGGGTTTCACCATGTTGGCCAGGCTGGTCTCGAACTCCTGACCTCAGGTGATCCACCTGCCTCGGCCTCCCAAAGTGCTGGGATTACAGGAATGAGCCACTGCACCTGGCCTCTCTTCTTACATATTTCTAGAACTCCTCTAGAATTTGGGGTTTGTTTTTCTTAATTACAAGGAATCAAGTTGAATCATTAGTGCATATATAAATATACATTTTATTTTTAGTACACATTATATACCTCAGGAATGTACAATGCTCAGTGTCTGGGTGACGGGATTATTCATACCCAAACCTCAGCATTGTACAATATCCCCAGGTCACAAAGCTGCCTGTGGATCCCCTGAATCTACAATAATAATAATAATAATAATAATAATAATAAATAAAAAGTGACTTTGTCATTCGCAGGGAAATGCGAATGACATTCACTCTGCCTCTCAGGCCCTTGGATTCCCAAAGTTTGTTTTCATCACGCCCAGGGGACACTCAGAATCTCGTTTTCAGAACGCGGGTTGTTTTTCTTAGAAGCGCTTTGCAAAACAAAATAGGAAGCAAAATCTTTCTCACTCCTTCCGCTCCGTAATAGACAAAATAAAATGAGGGGGCAGGAATCCAGAGACTTTGACGGCAGTTGGCAGATTTATTGTGGTACAGACACGAAGGCAAGCAGTGTTCTCTCTGATTCTACGAACCATACAGCCCGGGCCGGCTGCCTTCTGCTTTCTGGATGGTGCAGGCATGAGCTCCAAGCCCAAATTTCACCGGAGCTCCAGGAATCAAGCCTGGCCCAGGCACTCACTGCATGGGGGCCAAGCATGAAACCAGTGACTGCTCCAGCAAGGTAACAGGACAGCTTGGTGATCCTTCTTGCTGGCCACAAAAGGTTATAGCCAGAATTCCACCGAATGTGGTCTTTCTGGGTCTCTCCTCAGAGAGCGAAGCTGGACAAACCTGGGGGTGGGGGGTGGGGGGTGCTGACCTCAGTGGGGTGTCCTGGAGAGGCAGAAACCAAGGTTTACAGGGTGCAGATCCTACTGAAGCAAATGGACGTGGCATCTGCGGGCAGAGATGGCTCTAGCATCCCCCCTCTGCCTGCGGTGTCACCAAATGTACCCAGAGACCGCTTGTAAACCTGGAGGGTGTGCTGACCTCAGTGGGGTGTCCTGGAGAGGCAGGAACCTGGGTTTCCAAGGTGCAGATCCTACTGAAACAAATGGACGTGGCATCCGCGGGCAGAGCTGGCTGTGGCGCCCCCCCTTCTGCCTGGGGTGTCTCCAAATTTCACTGAGAGACCCCTTCTAAACCTGAGGAGTGTGCTGACCTCAGTGAGGTGTCCTGGAGAGGCAGGAACCAGGGTTTACAGGATGCAGATCCTACTGAAGCAAATGGACATGGCATCCGCGGGCAAGGCTGGCTGTGGCTGGCCTTCCATCCTGGACGTCTCCCCCACTGCCTGGGGTGTCACCAAATGCACCCAGAGACCTCTCGTCCGAAAGCCCATTCATGGGAAGCCTCCAGGTCTCCTCGGCAGGCAGCATCACGTCTGATTTAACTGTATTATCAGGTAATGCAGGCCTGTTCTACCTGTGTGCATGAGCGCATGGGTGCTGTGTGGGAGTGTGTGTGTTGATGTAGGTGTGGGTGTGTGCTTGTGTGGCTGTGTGTGTGTGCCTGTTTATGTGATGATGAGTGTGTCTGTGAGTCTGTAAGACAATGTGTGTTTCCATGTGTGTTTCTGTGTGAGCGTGCATTCCTGTGTTGTATGGAAGTGTGTTTTTCTGATGGGGTTTGTGTGTACCCCTGCATTTATCGTACTTGTGTGTTTGTGAATATGAGTGTATGTGTATGAATCTGTATGGCAATGTATAAATTTTTTTTTTTTTTTGAGACAGAGTCTCCCTATGTCACCCATACTGGAGTGCAAAACATGGTGAAACCCCGTCTCTACTAAAAGTACAAAAATCAGCCAGGTGAGGTTGTTCAGGCCTGTAATCCCAGCTACTTGGGAGGCTGAGGCAGCAGAATTGCTTGAACCTGGGAGGCAGAGGTTGCAGTGAGCCAAGATCATACTGCTGCACTGCAGCCTGTGAGAGATAGCCAGCCAGCCAAGCCAGCCAAGCCAGCCAGCCAAGCCGGCCAAGCCAGTCAGGCAGCCAAGCCAACCAAGCCATCCAGGCAGCCAAGCCAGCCAGCCAGCCAAGCCAGCCAAGCCAGCCAGCCAGCCAAGCCAGACAAGCCAGTCACCCAGCCAAGACAGACAAGCCAGCCGGCCAGCCAAGCCAGCCAAGACAACCAGCCGGCCAAGCCAGCCAAGACACCCAGCCAGCCAAGCCAGCCAAGCCAGCCAAGCCAGCCAGCCAGCCAGCCAAGCCACACAGCCAGCTTAGCCAGCCAGCCAAGCCAGTCAGCCAGACAAGCCAGCCAATCCAGCCAGCCAGTCAAGCCACCCAAGCAACCAAGCCAGCCAAGCCAGCCAAGCCAGCCAAGACACCCGGCCAGCCAAGCTGGCCAAGCCACCCAGCCAGCCAAGCCAGCCAAGCCAGCCAGCCAGCCAGCCAAGCCACACAGCCAGCTTAGCCAACCAGCCAAGCCAGTCAGTCAGACAAGCCAGCCAATCCAGCCAGCCAGTCAAGCCACCCAAGCAACCAAGCCAGCCAAGCCAGCCAAGCCAGCCAAGACACCCGGCCAGCCAAGCTGGCCAAGCCACCCAGCCAGCCAAGCCAGCCAAGCCAGCCAAGCCAGCCAAACCAGCCAAGCCACCCAGCCAGCCAAGCCAGCCAGGCAGACCAGCCTGCCAAGCCAGCCATCCAGAAAAGCCAGCCAAGCCAGCCAGCCAGCCAAGCCAGCCAAGCCAGCCAGCCAAGCCACCCAAGCCAGGCAGCAAGCCAAGCCAATCAAACCACCCAGCCAGCCAAACCAGCCAAGCCACCCAGCCAGCCAAGCCAGCCAAGCAACCCAGCCAGCCAAGCCAGCCAGCCACCCAGCCAGCAAAGCCAGCCAAGCCAGCCAGCCGGGCAAGCCCACCAGCCGGCCAAGCCAGCCAAGCCAGGCAGCCGGCGAAGCTAGCCAAGCCACACAGCCAGCCAAGCCAGGCTAGACACCCTGCCACCCAAGCCAGCCAAGCTGCCCAGCCAGTCAATCCAGCCAAGCCACCCAGCCAGCAAGCCAGCCAAGCCAACCAGCCAACCAAGCCAGCCAAGCCACCCAGCCAGCCAGCCAGCCAAGCCAGCCAAGGGACCCAGCCAGCCAAGCCAGCCAGCCAGCCAAGCCAGCCAAGCCAGCCAAGCCAGCCAGTCAGCCAAGCCAGCCAAGCCAGCCAGCCAAGCCAGCCAAGCCAGCCAGCCAGCAAAGCCAGCCAAGCCACCCAGCCTGCCAAGCCAGCCAAGCCACCCAGCCAGCCAAGCCAGCCAGTCAGCCAGCCAGCGAAGCCAGCCAAGCCAGCCAGCCGGCCAAACCAGCCAGCCAGCCAAGACAGCCAAGCCACCCAGCTGGCAAAGCCAGCCAAGCCACACAGCCAGCCAAGCCAGGCTAGCCACCCTGCCACACAAGCCAGCCAAGCCTCCCAGCCAGTCAAGCCAGCCAAGCCACCCAGCCAGCAAAGCCAGCCAGCAAGCCAAGAGAGCCAAGCCAGCCAAGCCAGCCAAGCCAGCCAGCCAGCGAAGCCAGCAAAGCCACCTGGCTAACCAAGCAAGCCAAGCCACCCGGCCAGCAAAGCCAGGCAAGACAGCCAAGCCACCCAGCCAGCCATGCCAGCCAAGCCAGCCAGCCAGCCTAGCAACCCAAGCCAGCCAGCCAG
The DNA here is from genome assembly GCF_000001405.40 of Homo sapiens. Taxonomy (NCBI): domain Eukaryota; kingdom Metazoa; phylum Chordata; class Mammalia; order Primates; family Hominidae; genus Homo; species Homo sapiens. The sequence goes on from NT_187383.1 coordinate 1,747,208, forward strand.
CCAAGCCAGCCAAGCCAGCCAAGCCAGCCAGGCAGCCAAGCTAGCCAAGCCAGGCAGCCAAGCCAGCCAGCCAGCCAAGCCAGGCTAGCCACCCTGCCACCCAAGCCAGCCAAGCCAGCCAAGCCACCCAGTCATCAAAGCCAGCCAAGCCAGCCAGCAAGCCAAGAGAGCCAAGCCAGCCAAGCCAGCCAAGCCAGCCAGCCAGCGAAGCCGGCTGGCCAATCAAGCCAGCCAAGCCACCTGGCTGGCCAAGCCAGGCCAGCCACCCAGCCAGCCAGCCAGCCAAGCCAGCGAAGCCAGCCAAGCCACCGAGACAGCCAAGCAAGCCAAGCCAGGCAGCCAGCCAAGCGAGCCAGCCAGCCAAGCCAGCCAAGCAAGCCAGCCAGCCAAGCCAGCCAGCCAGCCAAGCCAGCCAAGCCAGCCAGCCAAGCCAGCCAACAAACCAAGCCAGCCAAGCCAGCCAGCCAGCCAAGTCAGCCAAGCCACCCAGCCAGCCAAGCCAGCCAGCTAAGCCACCCAGCCAGCCAAGTCAGCCAAGCCAGCCAAGACAGCCTGCCAGCCAAGCTAGCCAAGCCAGCCAGGGACCCAAGACAGCCAAGCCAGCCAAGTTATCCAGCGAGCCAAGCCAGCCAAGCCAGCCAAGCCATCCAGCCAGCCAAGCCAGCCGGCCAGCCAAGCCAGAAAAGCCACCCAGCCACCCAGCCAGCCAAGCCACCCAAGCCACCCGGCCAGCCAGCCAGCCAAGCCAGCCAAGCCACCCAGCCAGCAAAGCCGGCCAAGCCAGCCAACCAGCCAAGCCAGCCAACCAGCCAAGCCAGTCAGCCAGGCAAGCCGGCCAAGCCAGCTAGACAGCCAAGCCGGCCATCCTGCCAGCCAGCCAAGCCGGCCAGACGGCCAAACCAGCCTAGCCAGCCAAGTCAGCCAGCCAGCCAAGGCAGCCAAGCCACCCGGCCAGCGAACCCAGCCAAGCCACCAAGCCATCCAAGCCAGCCAGCCAGCGAAGATGGCCGGCCAGCCAAGGCAGCCAAGCCACCGAGCCAGCCAAGCCAGCGAAGCCACCCGGCCAGTGAAGCCAGCCAGCGAGCCAAGCCAGCCAAGCCACCCAGCCAGCCAAGCCAGCCAGCCAGCCAGCCAAGCCAGCCAAGCCAGCCAAGCCAGCCAACTAGCCAAGCCAGCCAGCCAGCCAGCCAAGCCAGGGAAGCCAGCCAGCCAGCCAAAGCAGCCAAGCTACCCAGCCAGCCAAGCCAGCAAAGCAACCCAACCAGCCAAGCCAGCCAGCCACATAGCCTGGCAGGCCAGCCAGCCAGCCAGCCAAGCCAGCCAAGCCAGCCAGGCCAGCTAGCCAGCCAAGCCACCCGGCCAGCCAGCCAAGCCAGCCAAGCCAGCCTGCCAGCCAAGCCAGCCAAGCCACCCAGCCAGCAAGCCAACCAAGCCAGCCAAGACAGCTTGCCAGCCAAGACAGCCAAATCACCCGGCCAGCCAGCAAGCCAAGCCAGCCAAGGCAGCCAAGCCACCCAGATGATACATAGATATATGATATGTATTGATATGTATACCACATATATATGTGTGTGTGTATATTTATATACATGCCACAGTTTCTTTATCCACTCATTAATTAATGGGCATTTTGTTTGGTTCCACAGTTTTGCAGTTGCGAATTGTGCTGCTATAAACATGTGTGTGTATGTATCTTTTTTGTATAATGACTTCTTTTCCTTTTTTTTCTTTGAGACAGAGTCTTGCTCTGTTGCCCAGGCTGGAGTGCACTGGCTCAATCTCGGCTCACTGCAACCTCTGCCCCAGGTTCAAGCGATTCTCCTGTCTCAGCCTCCCAAGTAGCTGGGATTACAGGTGTCTTGTCACCATGCCCGGCTAATTTTTGTATCATGACTTCTTTTCCTCTGGGTAGATACCCAGTAGTGGGATTGCTGGGTCAAGTGGTAGGATAATTTGGTGCATTTCTTAAAGTTTTTACTGTTCACCATTCTCAAAAGCCATTTATTCGTTGTCTATTTAATAAACTTCAGAATATAAGAATCATAAAACTGGAACTTTTGTAAGTATATTAATTATCTCTTGCTGGTAACAAATTTTCCCTAAACTTACTCGCTTAAAATATGAACATTTAAAAACATTTTTTTCTATTTATTAAAATAAAATATTGTCTCAAGGGCCAGCTAGAAAAATAACGAACATCTCTTATCTCACAGTTTCTGAGGTCAGCAATCCTACAGCAGTTTGGATGGATGGTTCTGGCTCAGGGCCTCTTGTGAATAGTCAAGAGGCAGTCAAGATGTTGTTCTGGGCTGGAGGCACCTAAAGGCTTGACTGGAGTTGGACAACGTGCTTCTGAGCAGGCTCCTGCATGTGGCTGCTGGCTGGAGGCCTCCGTTCCTCACTATGCAGACCTTCCCATAGGGCAGCTTGAGTTCTCATGTCACAGCAGCTGGGTTCCTAAGAGGAACAGCAAGGAGGAAACTCCAGTGCCTTTTATGATTAGTCTTGGATGTCACCCAGTGTCACCCCCACAACCTTCTGTTCCTTAGAAACAAGTCTCTGGACCCTGCCTACACTCAAGGGGAAGGGAAATAACCTCTGCCTTTCAGAGACAGGAGTGCCAGAGAATTTGTGGACCTATTTTAAAACCACCTCCATCTGTTTCGTTCAATGATTTCTAGCATCTAAATATGCTTGGCTCATATAGTAGGGGCTTTAACGGAAGTGGTTCCTGTTTATAGGTCTTCAACCTTATACAATTGGGGGCTTCCCGAAAGAAAAAGAACACAAAATTAGTTAGGAAAGTTAATGTTTATTTAGAATAAAAGAAGAAAGTACAACAAATTGTAAAAAATTTAAAGCCGAAAAAATCACTAATATCATAAAATCCCCCCCAAATAGCATCTTTTAAAAATTAACTAACTGCTTGACTTTTTTTTGAAACAGAGTCTTGCTCTGTCACCCAGGCTGGAGTGCAGTGTCACGATCTTGGCTCAGTGTAAACTCTGCCTCCCGGGTTCAAGCGATTCTCCTGCCTCAGCCTCCCAAGTAGCTGGGTTTACAGGCACCTGCTATGATACTTTTGTCCTATATGTTTCAGCTACAAACTCTTTAATTATCTTTTAACAATACTGGGTTATTATTTTATAGATAGTGACTATGAGAAGGAGGATTTAGTCTTTCCTCCATCATGGCTGATCGTAATTTTTAATATAATTTAATTTAATTTTAGAGACAGGGTCTCACTCTGTTTCCCAGGCTGGAATGCCATGGAATGATCATATGCTAATTGCATTGTCAAACTCCTGGGCTCAGGTGATTCTCCTGCCTCAGCCTCTATAGTAGCTGGGACCACAAGTATTAGCCACCACACTTGACTAATTCAATTTTTTTTTTTTTTTTTGGTAGAGACGAGGTCTTGTTATATTGCGCATGCTGGTCCTGAACTCCTGGCCTCAAGTGATCCTCCCAAAGTGTTGGGATTCCAGGTGTGAGCCACTGTGCCTGACATGATTGATCAAAAAAAATTTTTTTTTAATTACTATTGTCAGTTTTGAAAAGTTTCTTTTGGCTTCACCACTTATTACTAGTCAGGTATTGTAAAATTTTAGGATTATTGTGTTAAATTTGAGAAAACATGTATCACATTTCTTTCTTACATGACCTCCAAGATTTCAGGGCAATTCAAGTTTTCTTGCATGGCAATTAATCTTAATGCTCTTTGAAGGATGACACTCATTAACCAGTCTTGTTGTCCCCATCCTCTTTGTAAAGATGGAGCATGTGTTTTATGTTATCTTTGTCGATGCCGATACATCATGTCAAGTCAACAAGAACTTTACTTCATTTTTCTGGGTGATTCTATCATTTATTCCTCTTTAGAAATGGGATAATTAGATAACCCAATCGCTTATTCATTACTTTTACTCAAAATTCTGTCTTGTTCTTAATGGTGTGACCTGTGTTCTGTTTCAACAGAGAACTCACTGAAAGTTAAAGGTCAAGGTGCATCAAACATTATGAGAGGCGGCTGGGCACAGGGGCTCACACCTGTAATCCCAGCACTTTGGGAAGCTGAGGCAGACAGATCAGCTGAGGCCAGAAGTTGGAGACCAGCCTGGCCAACATGGTGAAACCCCATCTCTACTAAAAATACAAAAATTAGCTGGATGTGGTGGCACACACCTATAACCCCAGCTATTTGAGAGGCTGACTCTGAGAGTTGCTTAAACCCGGGAGAAGGAGGTTTTAGTGAGCTGAGATCATGCCACTGCACTCCAGCATGGGGGACAAAGTGAGACGTTGTGTCAAAAAAAAAAAAAATTCATGAAAGGCCACCGGATTTGTTGGAAATGCACTAACTGTGACCATCCTGTGTGTTCTCACACACATGCTTGCTGTTTGTGGAACTGCAACACTGAAAGGTACATTTCAGTGTCTGCATATACTGTTTTACTGGAACACAGCTATGCTTATTCTACATGGACGCTTTTGTGCGACAATGTCTGAGTTCAGTAATTGCATTAGAGGCTACATGGCCTACAAAACCTAAAGAATTTGCTATTTGGCTCTTTACAAAAAATTTGCTGACCAGCTACCCTCCTATGGCAATAAGTAAAAGACATACTCACCCCTTCAGCCTCACTGAAGCAATGACCATTTTTCAGTCCTGAGAACATACCAGCCTGTAGAATGCCTCAAGACTCACCTCCCTGCTATTCCTTCTGCCTGGAACATTCTTCTCTTTCCTAGCTATTTTTCCTTCTGATCCCATTCATTCTTCAGACAATATCACCTAATAAGAAAAGACTTCTCTGAACACCTAAAACAGGTCCTCCCCATTCTTCTTCTTCTTCTTCTTTTTTTTTTTTTTTTTTTGAGACAGAATCTGTCATCCAGGTTGGAGTGCAGTGGTGCGATCTTGGCTCACTGCAACCTCCGCCTGCCAGGTTCCAGTGATTCTCCTGCCTCAGCCTCCCCAGTAGCTGGGATTACAGGCACTCACTGCCATGCCCCGGATAATTTCTGTACTTTTAGTAGAGATGAGGTTTCACCATGTTGACCAGGCTGGTCTCAAACTCCTGACCTCAAGTGATTTGCTGGACTTGGCCTCCCAAAGTGCTGGGATTACAGGTGTGAGCTGCTGTGCCCGACCCTTCCTGTTACTCTTCACCATCTTTTCCTGCTCTTTTCCATGATGGTCCTGCTCATGGTTTGTAATGATTGATTGGTCTTCTTGTTTAAAGTTGTTGCCCTCTTTACTCTGTAAACTCCCTGTCAATAGAAACTACACATGTCTTATCATGATAGGTAAAAAACATGTACTCTGAAGTCAGATGGCCTGGATTTGAATCCCGGCTCTGTTACTTATAAGTCATGGAAGCCCGAGTAAGTCATTTCCCCTCTTGGCTTCTCAGTTTTCTCATCTGAGAATGGGCGCAATCATAGTAACTATTGCATTAAGTTCTGAAGGTTAAATGAGTTGATGCAGATAAACCACTAAGAACAATGCCTGGCTCATCATAAGCACTAGAGAAGAGTTAGTTATTAATACTCAAAACTGTGTCTTCAAGGTCCAGCACAAAAGAGCTGAATGAGTATCCCTTTAACAAGTGAAACTTTTTTTTTCTGAATGAAGCATTTGTGGAATGAAGTTTTTATCTAGATGAAAAAATAAGTATCTCATATATCTCTTGCTCTTTAATCATATGCTGCTGTACTGAAACATTATGGGCATCTAATTTAATTTAGCACATGAAAGGCAATGATTCACCTTGATTTACAAAACAAAGTCGAATCAGTAATGCAAGAGTTTGAATTATTTTTTAAAATTAACCCCCCCACCCCCCCATGACTCCCCCAGGATCTGTATTAGTATGCCATGGCCAGAGTAAAACCTATAAATATTATGAGGCCTACATTACTCAGCTGTTGCCACAATAACGCAAAAAATCACTCCAAGACTCAGTGGCTTAAAATGGTAATTATTTATTCTCACATAAACATTTGCAAGTTAGCTGGGGTTTAGATGACCTGGGGTGGTCCGGGCTGGGCTTCAAGTTATGGGCTGAGTCCAAGTTTGCTGCCTTGCTGGCATCACGCTTGCTAACATCTTACTGGCCAATAGTCACATGGCCAAGTCCAACATCCCTAAGTCAGGGAAGGGCATTCCTCCAAAGTGGGGAGGAGTAAAAATTTTCTGAACACAAATCCGAACTATCCCAAGACCTGTACCCAAATAAAAATGAAAACAAAACTCAACAAAGTGTAAAAGTATGTCTTCCAAAGGGACAAAAAAATCTGTAAGTTGAAACTTAAATTAACTTTCCTGAATTTTCTTGTTGCATGATTTGGCCAGTAAGGCAGGAGCACGGGGTTCTCTCTGCTTTTCTGGTCCTTGAAGCATGTGCTTCATCTGCATAATGGGCCAATCAGAGCTGTTTATGTTTCTGTCCTAGCACCGTCCCCATGCAGCAGATATTTGATAAAGTTGGTGGAAGGCAATTGTTGAATTCTATAAATATATGGCAATTGCATCAATGCATGCTATATTTGTCTTACAGAAATTTAAGGTCACTGTAGGTATTGCATGTTTCTACATCAAAGCTTCAAAAATAGTTCCGGGGTGTGGAGGTGCACATAGCTTCTACTAGCAATACACACACTCTGGAGCACTCCCGGGAAGTCGTGGCCTCTGGGTTTTCTGTTTGTTTCTCTGTCTCCCTTGCAATGAAAATGAAATCACTTTCTCAGCCTGATCATTGCTCGAGGGAAATGCATTCCTGGAAAATAATCAACAGAGAGGAGAATGTAGACAAGTAAATAAACAGTTTAATGAATATAAAATAAAATGTGAATTAAAGCTGGCTTTCAGAACCTACCATTATCCTTTCATCCACAGTTTATTCAATAATTACACAGTCAATTACAACTTGCATAAAGGATTTTATATACCTATTAGTCTATACATATCTACAGTATGTGCGTATTTATAGATAAAGAGGGAGGAGAGGATCGTGACTGAGGAAAAGTTTTCTGACAGAAATAACTGCAAATACTGCAAGGTTGAGCTTCTATCAATGCTAGTTTTTCCTGACCCAGGAGAACTCACATAGTGTTATGAATTTTAATATCACAACAGTTTTTTATCGAGAACCTAACAGGAGCCACACATTGGATTAACCGAGAAATCTCTCTATGTCTATACTCATATTATTTCTAACCCATGTGACACAGCCACCATATATCCCATTTTACAGAGGAGAACACTGAGACTCAGGAAGCAGTTCGAGCCTGTGTTTGAACTCTATTATGTTTCATGAGAGAATAGGGCTGTGATGAAGTTTGGCTACCCACCTGTGTACAGAGAGAGCCGATGGAAGACAAACAATGCAGGCATATTGATATCCATGTGGCTGTCGCATTTTTTTGTGTGCCAGGATTAATGTAAGAGAACACTCAGCATGGGAAGCCACCCGGGGCTGCTCCTGCATATATTTTGTTACATATTCCCTTCTGTTTCCCTTCAGTCATTTAACATAGAGCTTCTTTCACTGGAGGACGAGAATAGGTGTGGTGAGTATGTCTCCTGGATTAGCAGGTGCCTCTGGTTTGAAAATGTTCATTCTCAGAACCATCGGTGAAACCCAGAGATGAAATCTTACAAGCTAACTATAAAGCTTCCAGTAGCCACCACCATGGGAAGGACTTAATTGTGTGATGTTTAAAGCAGTGTCTGTAGATTACTCAGATACGGTGTCTCCTTTCTGTCTGGTGCATGCCTTACAAGGCACCTTTATTGAATCATGACTGTTAGCTTTCCTTGGCTGTGTATTAGGGTCCTGGAAGCTTCTATTCAGGTTTAGCTATTATCCATGCAAAGATCGTTATTGCTCTCTTGTTTGTATTTTAGCCTGGAGATTTGTGAAGGAAAGAAAAAGCAATTAGGTAACTGTAATGACAAAGGAGCAATTTGGTTTGAAAAGTCTCAGAAAACAGCTATTTTTTTTTTTAACTTCTAGGGCATTTCTGCTTTTTTGAAAACAAAACATGTTTAGGAGAATCTTTGTTTTTACAGATACAAAACAAAGCAAGAGGGTTTCTGCCTTTCCAGTTAAAGAGCAATCTTTAAAAGTCATCCAAGAAAAGTTGGCTCTGTTTTCTGAATTGCTAGTTGGGAGAACAAAAGAAGCAAGGGAAAGTTTGACTTGACTTCCTCTACAATTTGTTTATATCATCGGAGCAGAAAGAAACTCAGGGCTCAGCTCTCCACTTCCTGAATGAAGAGAGAGAAAAAAAAATGTCCGTGTGTCAAATTCATTGAGATGTGCAAAGTGAACAGCAAAAATCCTGATCGGCTGGAGCCCAAATGGCAAAGGAAGGATATTCATTGATTCAGCTGCTATCTGGCAAGAGAGCTACAAAGTCCTGATGGCGAGTGTCACCAAATACCTCCTCCTCTCTTCCCCAGCCACAGAAAGGACAGGCAAAGAGGGTGCAGCCTCTCCTGGCATGTTGCTATGGAGTTGGGCTAATCCAAGACAATGTTTCAGTCGGTCCAATCCAAAGACAGCAGTGGTAGCAATGGAATAGCATTGAAATTATAAATATTTACTTGAAAATAATGCTCAAGCCAGACTTAACTGAAATGATAAAGTCCTGTTTACTTCTCTTGGTGGTAGCCAGCTGAAACAACCAAACCAGTTAAGCAACAATTTTTTTTTTTTTTTTTTTTTTTTGGTCAGGTATGTACTGAATCACTGGCAGCAAACTTGTGGGATTTTAGGAGAGAGCTTCTCTCTCTCTCTCTCTAATTTTTGGCAGAATGCTTATTTTTGTTTTGTTTGTTTTAAGGAAAACAACAACAGAACTTGAGGCTGGCTGAGCTTATTAGATTACTGATTATCACTGTTAGTTTCCCACTGCTTGTATTTGTTGGGAGTGGTAAGGGAGATGAGGACAAGAATTTAGATGAAAAACACCCAGGCTTCTCTCTTCTTCATGAAATCCCCCGTGAGGTTTTCCAGTTTGCCTTCCCATAACTTGATTCTGATGAGGTCTGCCATAGCTAACCTATTAAAGAGAACATTGAAATTTGTGGGTGAAAAGGGTTAAAAATACAGCTTAGCAGTGAATATGTGCGGGTTTAACACCCTTACTGGAGGCTGTGATTTCACTGGCCTTGGAATACCAGAGGAAATTGCAAAACATGTAGATAGAATGAAGAGATAGAGTGCAGATAGAGTGCGGACAGAATAGAGTGGTAAAGAGAACCCGGCTAAAGGTGGCTGCTTCCCTCTGAAGGGTGGGTCATTCTTGCTAAAGTGGGTTTCTTGGTGAATTACAGTGGCAGCTCAGAGCTGGGGTAGAGGAGAAAATGCCATCCAATATGGCCGGAGACAATTTGAAAGATGAATAATATAACATACAGTGATTTCAAACTTCACGCTTTCTTATTGAAAGTTTTTCTTCCAGTTTGGAAGGCAAGTTTCAATCGATTCTTTTGTCTAATCCCTGCTTCCTGCCAGGCTGCACTGTTGCTGTTTTCAAGAAGAAACCTGGGCCTTGATTTGAATGCTTCAAACACTCAATGCTCAATTAGCCCTCTTTTGAATACTCTCTGACGGTTGGTTAAATATGGGTCAAAAGTGCTTTTTTAAAGTGGAACTGATCTTGGGTTGAGGTAACTTAATCTTCTGGTTGATAAGGTGCTGAAAAATAATGTTTTAATGGAACAATTACTAGAAGACATGGAAATTGCATTAGGCTCATCTGTCCAGTTCTATTTTATAGACATGAACATTTCAAAGTACAAAGGGCTATTCTATAAAAAGGACACTTGACTATTCTTTATAAAGGTTCCCCTTGTACTTTTATAGAATCTTTACAAGGTTAATAAGTATGCTTTCTTTTTTTATCACTATATATATTAAATGGCCCAATGACTGCTCCCACGTTGATTTGAGAATCATTGAAACTGCCTGAATGGAGCAGGGGTATCCGTTTTTTCCCATTGATTTGGAAACAAAAGACTCAGGGGGGGAAAAAAGTATAGTTTGCTTCTGAATGCCATATGCAGACGAACGTTCTGCTGATAAAATACACCATATCACAAAGCAGTTTCTGAGAATGCTTCTGTCTAGTTTTTATATGAAGATATTACCTTTTCTACCTTAGGCCTCAAATTGCTCCAAATATCCACTTGCAGATTCTGCAAAAGGAGTGTTTCAAAACTGCTCTATCAAAAGAAAGGTTCACCTCTGTGAGTTGAATGCACACATCACAAAGCAGTTTCTGAGAATGCTTCTTTCTAGTGTTTATATGAAGATATTTCCTTTTCTACCATAGGCTTCAAAGCACTCCAAATACCCACTTGTATATTCCATAAAAAGAGTGTTTCAAAACTGCTCTATCAAAAGGAAGGTTCAATCATCTGTGTTGAATGCACACATCACAAAGAAGTTTCTGAGAATGCTTCTGTCTAGTTTATATGTGAAGATATTCCCGTTTCCGCCATAGGAATCAAAGAGCTCCAAATATCCACTTGCAGATTCTATGAAAAGAGGGTTTCAAAACTGCTCTATGAAAAGAAAGTTTCAACTCTGTGAGTTGAATGCACACATCACAAAGCAGTTTTTGAGAATGCTTCTGTCTAGTTTTTATATTAAGATATTTCCTTTTCTACCATAGGCCTCAAAGTGCTCCAAATATCCACTTGCAGATTCAGCAAAAAGAGTGTTTCAAAACTGCTCTATTAAAAGGAAGGTTCAGCTCTCTGTGTTGAATGCACACATCACAAAGATGTTTCTGAGAATGCTTCTGTCTAGTTTTTATGTGAAGATATCCCCGTTTCCAACGAAGTCCTCAGAGTGATCCAAATATCCACTTGCAGATTCTACAAAAAGAGTGATTCAAAACTGCTCTATCAAAAGAAATGTTCAACTCTTTGAGTTGAATGCACATATCACAAAGCAGTTTCTGAGAATGCTTCTGTCTAGTGTTTATGTGAAGATATTTCCTTTTCTACCACAGGCTTCAAATTACTCCAAATATCCACTTGCAAATTCTACAAAAAGAGTGTTTCATAACTGCTCTATCAAAAGGAAGGTTCAACCCTCTGTGTTGAATGCACACGTCGCAAAGAAGTTTCTGAGAATGCTTCTGTCTAGTTTTTATGTGAAGATATTCCTGTTTCCACCGTAGGAATCAAAGAGCTCCAAAGATCCACTTGCAGATTCTACAAAAAGAGGGCTTCAAAACTGCTCTATCAAAAGAAAGGTTCAACTCTGTGAGTTGAATGCACACATCACCAAGCAGTTTCTGAGAATGCTTCTGTCTAGTTTTTATATTAAGATATTTCCTTTTCTACCATAGGCCTCAAAGCGCTCCAAATATTCACTTGCAGATTCTACAAAAAGAGTGTTTCAAAACTGCTCTATGAAAAGGAAGTTTCAAATCTCTGTGTTGAATGCACACATCAAAAAGAAGTTTCTGAGAATGCTTCTGTCTAGTTTTTATATGAAGATATTCCCATTTCCAACGAAGGCCTCAAAGCAGTCCAAATATCCACCTGCAGATTCAACAAAAAGAGTGTTTCAAAACTGCTCTATCAAAAGAAAGGTTCAACTCTGTGAGTTGAATGCACACATCACATAGCAGTTTCTGAGAATGCTTCTGTCTAGTTTTTATATGAAGATATTTCCATTTCTACCATAGGCCTCAAAGCGCTCCAAATATCCACTTGCAGATTCTACAAAAAGAGTGTTTCAAAACTGCTTTATCAAAAGATAGATTCAACTATGTGAGTTGAATGCACACATAACAAAGTTGTTTCTGAGAACACTTCTGTCTAGTTTTTATGTGAAGATATTCCCGTTTCCACCGAAGGCCTCAAAGCCGTCCCCTCCCAGGTTCAAGCGATTCTCCTGCCTCAGCCTCCTAAGTAGCTGGGATACAAGCGCCCGCCGCCATGCCAGGCTAATGTTTGTATTAGTAGTAGAGATGGAGTTTCGCCATGTTGGCCAGGCTGGTCTCTAACTCCTGATCTCAGGCGATTTGACCTCCTCGGTCTCCCAAAGTGCTGGGATGACAGGTGTGAGCCAAGGCGCCCGGCCTCATTTCAGAGTTTGCTTTCGTATGTGCCATATAAAGATGTTCATCATGTGCTCCGATACCGTAGCATGGAAGGCAGCAGTAACATGTAAATTATACTCACAGGATTTTCCCCACTTCAGCACATCCAGAAGTTGAAAGGAAGAGATAAATGGACATTTCAAAGCTGAATCTCAAACAACATCTAACACCTGTTTGGTGGGGCTTGATTTGGCAGGAGTAAATGAACTTGAATCAAATTCAATTACTCTGTGGCCGTACAGGAAGCAATGTGCAGGTACATTAACCATAATGTGTGTTTAACATTTTACAAAAATATCTGATTTTCTGGTACTTGTTTATTTTTAACCGCAATAAAAAGTCAAAATTTGGTGGAAAATATTTAACATGTGTTTTCTGTAGCACTCATGAGCTGTGCTATGGTGCAGTTATTTAAAAAAAGGAAAAGAAAAACAGTGGCCTAGCGTGGTGACTCACGCCTGTAATCTCAGCAGTTTGGGAGGCCGAGGCGGGTGGATCATTTGAGGTCAGGGGTTCAAGACCAGCCTGGCCGACATGGTAAAAACCCGTCTCTACTAAAAATACAAAAACATTAGCTGTGTGTGGTGGTGGGCGCCTGCAACTGCAGCTACTCGGGAGGCTGAGGCAGGAGAATTACTTGAACCTGGGAGGTGGAGGTTGCACTGAGCTGAGATCACGCCACTGCACTTCAGCCTGGGTGAGCGAGACTTCATCTCAAAACAAACAAACAAACAGAAAAAAAAAAAAAAGACAGGCCCTGTGACTCAGACCTTAATCCCAGCACTTTCAGAGGCCAAGGCTGAGGATGCTTGAGCCCAGGAGTTTGAGACCAGCCTGGGCAACATGGTGAAACCCTGTCTGTACCAAGAAAAAAAAAATTATCCAGATGTGGTATGTATGCCTATAGTCCCAGCTACTTGGGAGGCTGAGGAAGGAGGATGGCTTGAGCCCAGAAGGTGGAGGCTGCAGTGAGCTGAGATTGTACCACTGCACTCCATCCTGGGCAACAGAGCAAGATCTTGTCTCAAAAACAAAGCAAAACAAAACAAAACAAACAAAAACATTAAAAAAACAGATTGAGAATCCTTGGCCCCCACCTGTTACCAGATCAGTCACAATTGCAAACCAGAGGCCAGGCGCGGTGGCCCATGCCTGTAATACCAGCACTTTGGGAGGCTGAGTCAGGTGGATCACCTGAGGTCAGGAGTTTGAGACCAGCCTGACCATCATGGTGAAACCCTGTGTCTACTAAAATACAAAAATTAGCCAGGCATGGTGGCACGTACCTGTAATCCCAGCACTTTGGGAGGCCAAGGCAGGCAGATCACCTGAGGTCAGAAGTTGAGACCAGCCCGACCATCATGGTGAAAGCCCGTCTCTACTAAAATACAAAAATTAGCCAGGCATGGTGGCAGGTGCCTGTAATCTCAGCTACTTGGGAGGCTGAGGTAGGAGTATTGCTTGAACCAGGGAGACGGATGTTGCAGTGAGCTGAGATTGCACCGCTGCACTCCAGCCTGGGTGATGGAGCGAGACTGAGTCTCAAAAAGAAACGAAACAAAACAGTAAACCTAAAAAACTGGATTGAGATTCCTCAGCCCCCACCTCTTACCAAATCAGTCAAAATTGCAAACCAGAATGTATTCAACTGCCTTGAATACCGAGGATAGATGTCATTTCATCTATGACCCTCTCTGCAGCAGGAAAGCAATATTGCCCACCTGCATTGTCAAATTGGGCTCATTCAGCTAATTAAACCTATCAGCAACATATGCAAACTGGAGGCTGGGCAAGGTGGCTCACACCTGTAATCTCAGCACTTTGGGAGGCCGAAGCAGGCAGATTACTTGAGGTCAGGAGTTCGAGACCAGCATGGCCAACATGGTAAAATCCGGTCTGTACTTAAAAAAAAAAAAATACAAAAATTAGCCGGGTGTGGTGGTAGGCACCTGTAATGCCAGCTACTCAGGAGGCTGAAGAAGGAGAATCGTATTTATGAGGCAGAGCTTGCAGCAAGCCGAGATCAAGCCAGGGCGCTCCAGCCTGGGTGACAGAGTGAGACACGGTCTCAAAAAAACAAAAGATATGCAAACTGGGATAACCAGACTATATTATTCAAGGGATACTTTGCTATTAGAATTTCTTAGCATGAAAAATCATAATTTCTTGCCTTGTCTGAGGTATGAGTACTTGCATCTGATGTTCATGTGACTTAAGAATTTGGAGCAGTTATGTCGGGTGAGGTGGCTCACGCCAGTAATCCCAGCATTTTGAAAGGCCAACGCGGGTGAATCATCTGAGATCAGGAGTTCGAGACCAGCTTGGCCAACATGGCAAAACCTGGTATCGACCAAAAAACAAAAATTAGCTGGGCGTGGTGGGTGGGCGCCTGTAATCCCATCTACTCGGGAGGCTAAGGCAGGAGAATCACTTGAACCTAGGAGGCAGAGTTTGCAGTGAGCAGAGATCATGCCACTGCACTCCAGCCTGGGCAATGGAGCGAGACTTTGTCTCAAAAAAAAAAAAAATTGGAGCAGTTTGAAAGCTAACGTGTGGGCTTTCCTCATCTTCTTCATCAAATGTTATTTTCATGTCTTTTTTTCTTTTTTTGAGACAGGGTCTCCCTCTGTTACCCAGGCTGGAGTGCAGTGGTGCAATCTCAGCTCACTGTAGCTTCAACTTCCTGGGCTCAAGCAATTCTCCCATCTCAGCCTCCCGTGTAGCTGGGATTGCACACGTGCACCAAAACGCTATTTGCATCTTCTCAGCATTTAGGAAAGCTTCACATCACATACCCTGACCTCGAGAATGAATTCAAGAAATTCTTTTTTTTTTTTTTTTGAGACGGAATCTCATTCTGTCACCCAGGCTGGAGTGCACTGGCCCGATTTCAGCTCACTGCAAGCTCCACCTCCCGGGTTCAAGCTATCCTCATGCCTCAGTCTCCCAAGCAACTGGGATTACAGACACCTGCCACCACACCCGTCTAATTTTTGTATTTTTAGTAGAGACGAGGTTTCACCATGTTGGCCAGGCTGGTCTCAAACTCCTGACCTCAGGTGATCCGTCTGTCTCAGCCTCACAAAGTACTGGGATGACAGGTGTGAGCCACTGTGCACCTGGCCCAAGCAACTGATTTAGATAAAGGTTCCCCCGGCTCTCATTCTTTCTGACCCTGTTTTATTTCTTTATTTTTGTTTTATTGCCATCCTAGAGTGGGAAACGCTGAGGTAAGCACCCATCTTTGCAACTGTTACAGAATTGTCAGGTATTTAACGAAACAATGATCGGATCCCGTATTTGCCAATGAAAACATATTGTACAAATACAGACAAAGTGGCATAATTTACATCCATCGTTTCAAGTAGACAGACGATGAATTTTTCATATCCTCTCAGCTTTGAACTTCGTTATTACGGCTGGATACAATGATTTGTATTCTTCTCTGAAGTCTGTTTTCTGACAGCCGCAGTCAGATATTTAGAAGGTGGCTGGTTTTCACAATTTCATGGGGATCGTCCTAAAATGGTTTTTTTTTTTAAATTTTTCTCTCCCACTGTGGGTGAGGTCGCGATGGGTGCTGTGTGACTATAAATTGTCTAATTTACATTGTGTTGATCATTTTTATTTTACCATATTTTATTTTATTTTATTTTATTTCGATCATATATTTTAGAGATGGAGTTTTGCTCTTGTTGCCCAGGCTGGAGGGCAGTGGCACGAGCTCAGCTCACTGCAACCTCCACCTCCCGGGTTCCAGAAATTCTCCTGCCTCAGCCTCCTGGGTAGCTGGGATTACAGGCACCTGTCACCACGCCCAGCTCACTGCAACCTCCGCCTCCTGGGTTCGAGTGATTCTCTTGCCTCAGCCTCCCCAGTAGCTGGGATTACAGGCGCCCGCCACCACACCGGCTAATTTTTGTATTTTTAGTAGAGACAGGGTTTCACCATGTTGGTCAGGCTGGTCTTGAACTCCTGACCTCAGGTGATCCACCTACCTCGGCCTCCCAAAGTGCTGGGATTGCAGGCGTGAGCCACCGCACCCAACCGCTTTTTTTTTTTTTAACGGAGTTTTCACTCTTGTCCCCAAGGCTGAAGTGCAGTGTCACGATCTCGACCCACTGCAACCTCCGCCTCCTGGGTTCAAGCGATTCTCCTGCGTCAGCCTCCCAAGTAGTTGGGATTACAGGCACCCACCACCACGCCCTGCTAATTTTTGTTTTTTTAGTAGAGATGGGGTTTCACCGTGTTAGCCAGGCTGGTCTCAAACTCCTGACCTGAGGTGATCCACCTCAGAAGGAAAAGTCCTCTTTATTTATTTTTTTTTTTGAGAAGGAGTCTCTCTCTGTCACCCAGGCTGGAGTGCAATGGTGCAATCTCGGTTCACTGCAAGTTCCACCTCCTGGGTTGATGCCATTCTCCTGCCTCAGCCTCCTAAAGTGCTGGGATTATAGGTGTTAGCCACCACTCCCAGCCATGGATAATTTATTTTATAATTTTTTTTAAGAGATGGGAGTCTCACTATGTTGCCCAGGCTGGTCTAGAACTCCTAGGCTCAATAAATCCTTCTGACTTGGCTACAGAGACACGTGACCACAATGAGCTGTCAAATGGCAATCTGCTCACCAAGAGGAAACCACAGAAGGCAGACACAGTACCCTTTCCCTGTGACTAGAATAGAATCAGACGTTCCGGGAAAGGACTCAGAGTGAGGAAAGGTTTCCTGGAAGAATTTATGACAGGAGAAGAGAAAATCAAGGAAACCCACTAAAAAATAATAAATAAAGAGAACTTTTCCTTCTAAGGACCGGGCACAGTGTCTCATGCCTGTCATCCCGGCACTTTGGGAGGCCGAGGTAGGTGGATCACTTGAGGTCAGGCATTCTAGACCAGCCTGACTAACATAGTGAAACCCTGTCTCCACTAAAAATACAAAAATTAGCTGGGTGTGGTGGCACAGGCCTGTAATTCCAGCTACATGGGAGGCTGAGGCAGGAGAATCACTTGAACTCAGACAGCAGAGCTTGCAGTGAGCCAAGACCGCGCCATTGCACTCCAGCCCGGACGACAGACTCCCTCTCAAAATAAATAAATAAATAAATAAATAAATAGAACTTTTCCTTCTGAGGGCTGGGCGCGGTGGCTCACTCCTGTAATCCCTGCACTTTGGGAGGCCGAGGCAGGCAGATCACTTGAGGTCAGGAGTTCGAGACCAGCCTGACCAACATATTGAAACCCTGTCTCTAGTAAAAATACAAAAATTAACTGGGCGTGGTGGCGGGTTCCTGTAGTCCCAGCTACTCGGGAGGCTGAGGTGGGAGAATGGTGTCAACCCAGGAGGCAGAGCTTGCAGTGAACCAAGATTGCACCACTGCACTCCAGACAGGGTGACAGAGAGAGAAGCCCTCTCAAAAAAAAAATAATAATAAATAAATAAAGAGAACTTTTCTTTCTGAGGTATGAAGACCTGCATGACCACAGCGTGCAAAGAATCACCAGTTCTACCTGGTACTGTTGCATTGCAAACGTCACACCTGGTGTCTTGAACCAAAAAAAGAAGGGACAGTGGATTCTCATTTTATTTTATTTTATTTTATTTTTTGAGACAGAGTCTCGTGCTATCACCCAGGATGGAGTGCAGTGGCATGATCTCAACTCACTGCAACCTCTGCCTCCCGGGTTCCAGTGATTCTCCTGCCTCAGCCTCCCAAGTAGCCATGATTACAGGCACCTGCCACTAAGCCCAACCAATTTTTTGTATTTTTAATAGAGATGGGGTTTCACCATGTTGGCCAGGCTGGTCTTGAACTCCTGACCTCAGGTGATCCACCCGCCTCAGCCTCCCAAAGTGCTGGGATTACAGGTGTGAGCCACCATGGCTGGCTAAATTTTGTATTTTTAGTAGAAGCGAGGTTTTGCCATGTTGGCCAGGCTGGTCTTGAACTCCTGACCTCAGGTGATCCACCCGCCTTGGCCTCCCAAAGTGCTGGGATTATAAGCGCCCACCACTACGCCCAACCAATTTTTTGTATTTTTAGTAGAGATGGGGTTTCACCATGTTGGCCAGGCTGGTCTCGAATTCCTGACCTCAGGTGATCCACCCGCCTCAGCTTCCCAAAGTGCTGGGATTACAGGTGTGAGGCATCGTGCCTGGCTAATTTTTGTATTTTTAGTAGAGCCAGGGTTTCGCCATGTTGGCCAGGCTGGTCTCGAGCTCCTCACTTCAGGTGATCTACCCGCTTCAGCCTCCCAAAGTGCTGGGATTACAGGCATGAGCCACACAGCCTGGCCAAAGCCTTCGTTCATTTGCTTCCTGAGTACCCTTCCTGAGCTTCCTGAGCAGGCAGGAAGAATCACTTGGACAGTTATGGCACAGGTGACAGCTCTGTCACCCAGGCTGGAGTACAGTGACAAGGTCTCAGCTCACTGCAACCTCCGCCTTTCTGATGGAAGCAATTCTCCTGCCTCAGCCTCCCGAGTAGCTGGGATGACAGGCGCCCACCACAACCAGCTATTTTTTGTATTTTTAGTAGAGACGGGGTTTCACCATATCCGAGACAGGTCTCAGTTCATTTAGAAAGTTTATTTTGCCAAAGTTGAGGACGTAGACCCACAACACAGTGTCAGGAGGTCCTAGTGACATGGGGCCAAGGTGGTTGGGGCACAGCTGGGCTTCTTCTATTTTAGGGAGATATGAGGCCTCCATCAATATATATATAACAGGTACATTAGTTCTGTCCAGAAAGATGGAGACAACTGAAAGCAGAGAGGGGCCTCCAGGTCACAGGTAGGTGAGACACAAATGGTTGCATTGTTTTGAGTGTCTCATAAGCCTTTCCAAAGGGGGTTATGAGATATACATCTATGTCAATGAGCAGAGAGGTGACTTTGAATAGAACTGGAGGCAGCTTTACACTCCTCAGTTTCCAGCTTCAATTTTCCCTTTAGTTTTGTGATTTTGGGGACCTCAAGATGTTTTTCTTCTGCATTTCCCACCTTCTGTACTTAAAGGATTCTTTCACGTGCCTAGAATGTCTGCAGTTGCTTCTCTAGTCACTCAGTGTGTTTATTATCAACTTTACTCCTGGGCATTTGATATTTCCTTGCAATGATCACAGCCATTTTTATATCAATATGTATTTATATTTACATGCATATGTATTTATATTTTATAAGATAATTAAAATATAATTAAAGTAAAATATAAATAACTTTAAAATTAAATTGTATTTATTATTATATGTTTACATTATATGTATATATGTACTTATATTTATATGTATTTATATTACTTGTATTTATTATATTTTATAAGATAATTAAAATATAACTAAAATAAAATACAAATAAAATTAAAAGTAAATTGTATTATTATATGTATTTACATTATGTTATATGTATACATGTATTTATATTTCTATGTATTTATATTATATGTATTTATTGTTTTATAAGATAATTAAAATATAATTAAAATAAAATATAAATAAAATTAAAATTATATTATATGTATTTACATTATATTATATGTATATATGTCTATTTTTATGTATTTATATATGTATTTATTATATTATGTATTATAAGATTAACATCTAATTAAAATAAAATATAAATTAAAGTATAATTAAATATATTTATATGTATTGTTATACATATTTATATTATTTGTATTTATATGTATTCATATATAGTTTATATTTCACATTTCCATTTTATGCTATTTTTTAAAATTTTCATTATTTCTTTTCCTTTTTTCTTTTTTTTGGGGGGACAGTCTTGCTCTGTCACACAGGCTGGAGTACAGTGACAAGATCTCGGCTCACTGCAACCTCCGCCTTCCTGATCCAAGCGATTCTCCTGCCTCAGCCTCCCAAGTAGCTGGGATGACAGGCGCCCACCACGACCAGCTAATTTTTGTATTTTTAGTAGAGACGGGGTTTCACCGTGTTGGCCAGGCTGGTCTCGAACTCCTGACCTCAGGTGATCCACCTACCTCAGCCTCCCAAAGTGCTGGGATTACAGGTGTGAGCCACCACCCCTGGCCCCTCTACTTTCTTCATTAACTTGCTCTCACTTTACTCTATGGTCTCGCCCTGAATTGTTTCTTCTGCAAGAACCAGGAACGCTGTCTTGGAGTCTGGATCAGGACTCCCTTTCCGGTAACAAAACTGCCTTTGAAAAACCCGTAATCTCTGAGCTTTGAATAGGTACTCCACCTCCCACATGGCATGGCTGGTCTTGTGTCTCTTAAATTCTTTGTCTACAGCAATGCTGTGAGTCTTTATTCAGCAGGCAGGAAGAACCACTTGGACAGTTATGGCACAGCTTAGAAGACATTCTTAGAGTCTGCTTGGAAAGTAGACTGGCCTCAGTGAAAATTCGCTCTGAAAGGGTAAGCCTGGCTCTAAGCTCTGAGCTCAGCAGGCTGGTGGTAAACATTGCAGCTGTAAATCCAGGGAGAGCTGTGTTACTGGTGGGAGGAGGGATTTTACAGCCCAGGGGAGGGAGGGAGATTTGAATTTGAAAGACTTTTGCACAAAGGCAGGACTCCATGCCCAGCTGCTGTCCGCGGGGTCCCCAGCCTCTCTGAGCTTCTCACAATGACTCTGGGCCCGTGGGGACAGCCACAGTGACTTCTGAATGTTCTAGTGAAACCTGCAAGGGTCAGTTGGATGCCAGGAATTGTTTCTTGGGTCCTGTTTTTCCTCCAATAGGGGGCCATGCAGCTTTAGCTCTGAGTGTATTTGTGATTGTGGTTAGTTCCGACGTTCTATTTGGGGGAACTGTAATAGTGAAAAATCAGAGAAAGTGGCAGGGAATGGACATTTTGTAGAGTTATCAAATCTACACCTGAGAGAAGGAAATGCTTGTCTATTTCAGGATCTCTCAGCCCAGGCTCTGCTGACATTTGGGGATGGAGGATTCTCTGTGGTGGGGCCATCCTGGGCACTGTACGGTGTTGAGCAGAGACCCTGGGCTTCACCCACCAGGAGCCAGGACAACCCCTCCCCAGTTGTAACAACCAAAATTGTCACCAGATATTGCAAAATATCTCCTGGGGGTAAAATCTCTCTGGTTGCCATAGATAGGTAAGTACACAAGTAGATACACAGGGGGAGGGGGCAGGAGATGGGTGGACAGATTGATGATTGATAGATACATGATAAATAGAAAGATAGATGAGATAAATAGATGGTAGATGATGGATAGATAGATAAATAGATATATACATACATACATACATGGATGGATAGATACATACATACATACATGAGTTGATGGATGGATGGACAGACACATATATACATAGATGGATACATACATACATACATACATGGATGGATGGATGGATGGACACATAAATAGATAGATACATACATAGATGGATGGATACATACATACATACATGGATAGATGGATAGATGGCTGGATGGATACATACATACATAGATGGGTAGATGAATGGATACATACATACATAGATGGATGGATGGATAGATAGATACATACATACATACATAGATGAATAAATGGATGGATGGATGGATACATACATACATGAAGAGATGGATAGACAGACACATACATACATACATACATACATACATACATACATAGATGGATGGATAGATAGATAAATGCATAAATACATACATAGATGGATGGATGGATGGATGGATGGATGGATGGATAGTGGTGCAATTTCAGCTCATCGCAACCTCTGCCTCCTGAGTTCAAACGATTCTCCTGCCTCAGCCTCCCAAATAGCTGGGATTACAGGCACCCACCACCACACCTGGCCAATTTTTGTAATTTTAGTAGAGACGGGGTTTTGTGTCATGTTGGCCAGGCTGGTCTCGAACTCATGACCTGAAGTGATCCACCCGCCTCAGCCTCCCAAAGTGCTGGGATGACAGGCATGAGCCATAATGCCCAGCTTGCCCATGATCTTTTTTTTAATCGTATATATAAATGAATATTGTACCTAGGGTGGACGCGTTCCTCCTCTTACTTTTGGTAACCCCCTATTCTGTCTATGTAGTAGGATTAGTAAAAGAGGAAGGAAGTCTTCTTTGCAGATGAGATAAGAGGAAGGCATCTGTCTCCTGCTCGTCCCTGGGCAATGGAATGTCTCTGTGTAAAGCCCGATTGTATATTCCAGCTACTGAGATAGGGGAAAACCGCCTTAGGGCTGGAGGTGGGACGTGCTAGCAGCAACACTGTCCTTTAAGGCATTGAGATGTTTATGTATATGCACATCAAAGCATAGCACTTTTTCTTTACCTTGTTTATGATGCAGAGACATTTGTTCACATGTTTTCCTGCTGACCTTCTCTCCACTATTACCCTATTGTCCTGCCACATCCCCCTCTCTGGGAAACGACCGATAATGATCAATAAATACTAAGGGAACTCGGTCCTCTGTATGCTGAATGCCGGTCCCCTGGGCCCATTTTTCTTTCTCTATACTTTGTCTCTTTCTTTTCCAAGTCTCTCGTTCCACAGCAACCCATCCCTTCAGTACTTTCAGCACTTTGCTTTCTTAATAATCTTTTTTTTTTTTTTTTGAGATGGAGTCTCACTCTATTGCCCAGGCTGGAGTGCAGTGGCGCTATCTCTGCTCACTGCAAGCTCCACCTCCTGGGTTCACACCATTCTCCTGCCTCAGCCTCCTGAGTAGCTGGGATTACAGGCAACCACCCACGCCTGGCTAATTTTTGTATTTTTAGTAGATATGGGGTTTCACCATGTTGGCCCGGCTGGTCTCGAACTCCCGACCTCAGGTGATCCACCCGCCTCAGCCTCCCAAAGTGCTGGGATTACACGCGTGAGCCACCGTGCCCAGCCTCTGTGTAATTTCTTGTATCTAGTGGAATCTAAAAGCCCATCTGATGGGAGGGTGGTGGCTGTTGAAAGGATCCCAGATTCTGCATTTCTTCTGGACTTGCATCATTTATCCAGCCCAGTAGCTATTTTTCTTTTTCTTTTTTTCTTTCTTTCTTCCTTTTTTTTTTTTTTTGACAGAGTTTTAGTCTTGTTGCCCAGGCTGGAGTGCAGTGGCGTGATCTCAGCTCACTGCAACCTCTGCCTCCCAGGTTCAAGCGAGTCTCCTGTCTCAGCCTCCTGAGTAGCTGAGACTACAGGCACCTGCCACCACACCCAGCTAATTTTTCTATTTTTAGTAGAGATGGAGTTTCACCATGTTGGTCAGGCTGGTCTCAAACTCCTCACCCTGTGATCCACCCGCCTCGGCCTCCCAAAGTGCTGGGATGACAGGTGTGAGCCACCGCACCTGGCCAGGGTTTGGCAGTTTTAAGGATAATTTGGTGGGTGGGGGCTCAGGAAGTAGAGAGTGCTGGTTGGTCAGGTTGAGGATGAAATCATGGGAGGCTGAAGTGAGTTCATGCTGCCTTCTGTTCCTGTGTGGGATGGCTGATATCTGGTTGAGTCAGATTACCGGTCTGTGTGGTGTCATCTGCTGCATTGGAATCCAGGGTCTGCAAAATATCTTAAACACTGATCTTAGGTTGTGCAACAATGATGTTATCCCCAGGAGCTATTTGGGGGAGGTTCAGACTCCTGGAGCCAGAGGCAGCATGATCCCTCAACCATAATTCCTAATCTTGTAGCTAATTTATTAGTCCTGCCAAGGCAGGCTGGTCCCCGAGCAAGAAGTTTCCCCGCGTCCCTGCCCTCCCAGAAAAGGGCTATTGTCAGTTTTGTTTCAGAGTTTAAACTATAAACTAAATTCTTTCTGAGGCTACTACGCCCAGGAATGAATAAAGACAGTTTCGAGGTTAGAAAGAAGATGGAGGGGTGGGTGGTTAGGTCTGATCTCTTTCACTGTCATAATTTCTTCAGATATAATTTTTGCTAAGGTGGTTTCAGGAGGATGGGGAGGAATGAGGGGGTCATGAGAGCCAATTCCTCCTTCCCAGCCCCAAGGGTGAGAATGTGGACACAGCCCCTCCTCCTCCTCCATCCCAGCCCTGGGGGGAGGCTGTGGACACCACCCCTCTTCTCCTCCATCCCAGCCCTGGGGGGAGGCTGTGGAAACCACCCCTCTTCTCCTCCATCCCAGCCCTTGAGCTGAGAATGTGGACATGGCCCCTCCTCCTCCTCCATCCCAGCCCCAGGGGGGAAAGTGTGGACATGGCCCCTCCTCCTCCTCCATCATCCCAGCACCAGTGGGGTGAGTGTGGACACGGCCCCTCCTCCTCCATCATCCCAGCTCCGGGGGGAGAGTGTGGACACTGCACCTCCTCTTCCATCATCATCCCAGCCCCAGTGGGGAGAGTGTGGAAACGGCCTCTCCTCCTCCTCCATCATCTCAGCCCCAGAGGGGAGAGTGTGGGCACCGCCCCTCCTCCTCCTCCTCCATCATCCCAGCATCTGGAGGTGAGGGTGTGGACAGGGCCCCTCCTCCTCCTCTATCATCTCAGCCCCAGAGGAGAGAGTGTGGACACCACCCCTCCTCCTCCTCCATCATCTCAGCCCCAGGAGGATAGTGTGGACATGGCCCCTCTTTCTCCATCCCAGCCCCAGTGGGGAGAGTGTGGACACAGCCCTTCCTCCATCTCAATCCCAGGGAGTTCGGGTGTAGACATGACTCTTCCTCCATCCCAGCCCCGCGGGGTAGACATAGCCCCTCTTCCATCCCAAAACCAGTGGCTGAACAGTTTGGTGACGTCCCCATTGTACCTGATCCATTTTGTTGCACTGGGTCCGCAGCATGAAATCTCTATGTCTTTATGGAACCCAGGATTAACCCCCCAAAAGTTGTTTAATCTTCAGCTGTCCCATATCTGGGGATGCATCTCCTGGTATGAAATCTCTGTTGTCAAAGTAGCCTTTTTCTTTCCAGAATCCCTATTGCACTGTTTCTTTGTTGTGACCTCTGTGTTTCTTGGTGGAGCTGGAATCCTCCGGGCTCCCCTCCCAGGGAGCCTGGCTTGGCCTCCCTCCTCCTCCCCCTTGCAGCCCGTGCCAAAGACCCTTCGGTTTGCGGCAGCCCCTTGTTTTTTATTATTTTAATTGGTGCTTGAGCCCTGCAGGTTTACGACCCCCGTGTTTACACTAACTGTACTTTAATAAGTCGCCTAAGAGGTAACAGGAGCGTAGGGCTCTATAAATGTTTTAATTCACACAAACCCACCCAGCTATTTCCGTCCACACCCAGTGTGGTTGGGACGTGAAAATCAACAGGACCAAGGTGCTGGATCCGGCCCCCAGCTCCCCCGGCCGCCTCTTCCCACTTCTTTAAACGTTTCCAGCAGCCTCTCACTTTTATGTTTGCGCTTGTCTAAACGGCACTCTGAGGCCGTTCACACCCCCCGGAGCCCCATAAGCCAGCGCTTAGGACAATCTCCTTTTACCAGCAGCCCTAGGAGATGGGCAAACCCCACATATACAAACCCCACTGTCTCCAGAGCTCTCTTAGGTAAAGAAAAACGCATTTGGGGGGCTCAGGAAGACAGCTAGACGCCCAGGAATCTGTGCCTGAAGCATTTCTTCTTGCAATGTGTTTGCGTTTTCTCTGTCCGTCCTCATATTTCTTATCCTAAGACAGATTTCTTATCCTAAGAAATTACCCATCCTAAGAAATCGGGCTTGGCTGTGGGATGTTGGAATTTTACAGGACAAGGGTATGGTGCCAACTGAGGGGACATTGAATGTATTTATTATTTATGTATTTATTTTGAGATGCAGTTTCGCTCTTGTTGCCCAGACAACAAGAAGTCGGGCTTGGCTGTGAGATGTTGGAGTTTTACAGGACAAGGGTATGGTGACAACTGAGGGGACCTTGAATGTATCTATATATCTATCTATGTATCTATCATCTATGTATTTATTTTGAGACAGAGTTTTGCTCTTGTTGCCCAGGCTGGAGTGCAATGGCACGATCTCAGCGCACTACAACCTCCACCTCCCGAGTTCCAGTGATTCTCCTGCCTCAGCCTCCCAAGTAGCTGAGATTACAAGCCCATGCCACCACACCTGGCTAATTTTTGTATTTTCAGTGGAGATAGGGTTTCACCATGTTGGCCAGGCTGGTCTCGAACTCCTGACCTCAGGCCATCCACGCGACTTGGCCTCCTATAGTGCTGGGATTACAGGCGTGAGCCACCGCGCCCAGCCTCGTTGAATGCACTTATAGGATGCCAGGGATTTGGGGGCCTAGGCATGGCACATTGTTGTGCAAAATGCCAAGAACCCAGCTTGGGAGATGATGGTGCCTTGGCATGAAGGGTAAGGAGACGTGTGCAGCTGGGGACTTCCTAAATGTTGGCTTGCACTTTAACAGCGGCATTAAACATGGGCTTGGAGAGAACGTTGAAAATTGACTCTTTTAGAGATTTCAAAATGTGAAATGTATATAAGCCTATGTCAAAACGTCACACTGTATCCCATAATATATACATTATAGATCCTAATTTCAATTCATTATATATATATATATATATATAATAGGCTATATATGCGTGTGTGTATACATAATAGGGTATAATAATATATATTTATTTTATTATACATCTAATACATATAAATACATATAATAAATATGTACATGTAAATGCATATTTATATATTATATATTATATGATATATGATACATTACATACTGTATTATTTTATTAATTATGATATATAACATGTATAATTATGTAATATATAATTGTAATATATTGTAATATATTATATTTTATATATAATAATATATTATGTTTTATAATGTTATATAATATATTATAATAAAACCTAATATATAATATATTATATTTTATGATGTTATATAATGTTATAATAAAACATAATGTATAATAATATATTGTTAAATTTTACAATGTTATATAATATATTATAATAAAACAATATATAATAGTATAATATATAACATGTATAATTACTATATAATATGGTACATAGTATATAGTATGTGTATAATTATAGAATATATAATTAATATAATATATAATATATACGATTGTTATGTAATATAGTTAAATATATTACATATCTTTAAATATGTATATTTATACATATAACATACATAAATATACAATGGGTACAATGATATATATTTATTTTATTTTAATATAATAAATCAATACATATAAACATGTATTCATATGTAAATATATTTAAAATATATGTATTGATTATATTATACATATATTATGTGGTACAATAGTATTTATATTTCATTTTACATATAAATAGATGTATAAATATATGTATTATATTATATATAATTTAAATTTATACATTTTATATATTCTATATGTCATATTATGGGGTACAATGATTGCATATTAAATACATGCAATTATTATTGGTCAGTGAAAAGTAAAATATGAAAAAAGAAAGGGAAAGAGACAGATGAAACCTGTGGTCAGCTCTCGTGGGAGTGCAGAAAGCAGGTCCAGATCTCAGAAGTGTCTCTTCTTTTCTGTGGCTTCACGATGCGGCACCGCTATGAGGAAGATATGAGGAATATCTCTTGGCTCAGAGGATAAAGACAGGCAGCTGTTGGCATGAAGACAGCAAAGGCCTTTGGGTCACATCTGCAGAAGAATACATGTGTTTCACATGAATGCATTGTTCTTCTTGGCCAAAATCTATCCACAGAAGATATGGTATGAGTTCTACTCTCTGCTTCTATGAGTTTGACTATTTTAGATTCCTCATATAAGGGAGATCATGAAGTATTTGTGTTTCTGTGCCTGGCTTATCTCACGAAATATAATGTCCTCCAGGTTCACCTGTGTTCTTGCAAATGGCAAGATTTTCTTCTTTTTCAAGGCTGAGTAATATTCCCATGCATGTACATTATTGATGTCCCAATTTCTTTATCCATTCATCCATTCATGGTCTCTCGGTTTGGTCCATGTCTTGGCTATTGTGGATTATTCTCCCAATTTGTTTATCCATTCATCCATTCGTGGTCACTTGGTTTGGTCCATGTCTTGGCTATTGTGGATAATTCTCCCAATTTCTTTATGCATTCATCCATTCATGGTCACTTGGTTTGGTTGCATATCTTGGCCCTTGTGGGTAATTCTCCCAGTTTCTTTATCCATTCATCCATTCATGGTCACTTGGTTTGGTCCATGTCTTGGCTATTGTGGATAATTCTCCCAGTTTCTTTATCCATTCATCCATTTATGGTCGCTTGGTTTGTCCATGTCTTGCTTATTGTGGATAATTCTCTCAATTTCTTTATGCATTCATCCTTTCATGGTCACTTGCTTTGGTCCATATCTTGGCTATTGTGGATAATTCTCCCAGTTTCTTTATCCATTCATCCATTCATGGTCATTTGGTTTGGTTGCATGTCTTGGCTATTGTGGATAATTCTCCCAATTTGTTTATCCATTCATCCATTCATGGTCACTTGATTGGGTCCATTTCTTGGCTATTGTGGATAATTCTCCCAGTTTCTTTATCCATTCATCCATTCATGGTCACTTGGTTTGGTTGTGTGTCTTGGCTATTGTGGATAATACTTGGTTTGGTCCGTGTCTCGGCTATTGTGGATAATTCTCTCAATTCCTTTATCCATTCATCCATTCATGGTCGCTCGGTTTAGTCCATGTCTTGGCTATTGTGGATAATTCTCCCAATATCTTTATCCATCCATCCATTCATGGTCACTTGGTTTGGTCCATGTCTTGGCTATTGTGGATAATTCTCCCAATTTCTTTATCCATTCATCGATTCGTGGTCGCTTGGTTTGGTCCATGTCTTGGCTATTGTGGATAATTCATCAATGAGTATGGGAATCCATGTATTTCTTCAAGATTCTCATGTCAGTTCTTTTGTGACAAAAATAAAGCTGTTTGATATGGTTTGGCTGTGTCCCCCGACCCCAAAACCTTATCATGAATTGTGGTTTCCATCCTCCTTATGTGTCATGAGAGGGACCCAGTGGGAGGTAATTTAATCTTGGGGACAGTTACCCTCATGCTGTTCTTGTGATACTGAATGAGTTCTCACAAGATCTGATTAATTTTTTTTTTTCTATTTAGACGGAGTCTCACTCTCTCGCCAGGCTGGAGTGCAGTGGCATTATCTTGGCTCACTGCAACCTCCACCTCCCGGGTTCAACTGATTCTCCTGCCTCAGCCTCCCAAGTAGCTGGGACTACAGGTGTGCATCACCACGCCCGGCTAATTTTTGTATTTTTAGTAGAGATCGGGTTTCACCATGTTGCCCAGGATGGTCTCGATCTCTTGAGCTTGTGACGCTCCCACCTCAGCCTCCTAAAGTGCTGGGACTACAGGTGTGCACCACCACGCCTGGCTAGTTTTTGTATTTTTAGTAGAGATGGGGTTTCACCATGTTGCCCTGGATGGTGTCAATCTCTTGACCTTGTGATGCACCTGCCTCGGCCTCCTGAAGTGCTGGGATTACAGCTGTGAGCCACCTCACCCGGTCCAGACACAGTGTACTCATTTCCACTTGATTACAGTAGGATGAAGATACATGGAGGGGTTGGGACAAATGATGACTTCCTTCTCTCTCTGCCTCCTCTTAAACCTGCACACACCTGCTCTTCAGGATTATCATTTATTTGCTTGGTCTCAACCAACTGGGATGATGCCCCAGAAGAATTGAGCAGAGAAATGGACACCGTTTCAGGACCAGCATTTCTGTAGCCTTCTCAGTTCCGGGAAAAATATGGTAACAAAACTTTTTTTTCTTTGAGACGGAGTTTTGCTCTTGTTGCCCAGGCTGAAGTCCTTGTAAGAAGAGGAGATGAGGACACAGACACACACACAGAGGGAGGACCACATGAGGACTCAGGGAGAAGATAGTGTCTACAAGCCCAGGAGAGGGTCCTCAGAAGGAACCAGCCCTGCCCACACCCTGATCTCAGACTTCCAGCCTCCCGAGTAGCTGGGACTACAGGTGTACACCAGCACGCCCAGCTAATTTTTGTATTTTTAGTAGAGATGGGGTTTCACCATGTTGCCCAGGATGGTCTCGATCTCTTGACCTTGTGATGCACCCACCTCGGCCTCCTAAAGTGCTGGGATTACAGCCGTGAGCCACCGTGCCTGGCCCAGACACAGTGTAGTCATTTCCACTTGATGTAGGATGAAGACACATGGAGGGATTGGGACAAATGATGGCTCCCTTCTCTTTCTGCCTCCTCTTAAACCTGCACACACCTGCTTTCCAGGATTATCATTTATTTGCTTGGTCTCAACCCACTGGGATGTGGGAGAATCAATGTCTGTTGTTTCTAAGCCACCCAGTCTAATGGTGATCTGTAATGGCAGCCTAAGATGGACTAAGACATCCCATAAGAAGAGGAGATGAGGACACAGACACAAACAGAGGGATGACCATGTGAGGACACAGGGAGACTATGGTGTCGGCAAGCCCAGGAGAGAGGCCCCAGGAGGAACCAACCCAGCCCACACATTAATCTCAGACTTCCAGCCTCCAAGACTGTGGGAGAATCAATGTCTGTTGTTTATAAGTCACCCAGTCTATGGTATTCTGTGATAGCAACCTGAAATGGACTAAGACATCTCATAAGAAGAGGAGATAGGACACAGACATATACAGAGGGACAACCCTGTGAGGACACAGGGAGAAGACGGCATCTCCAAGCCCAGGAGAGAGGCCTTAGGAAAAAACAGCCCTTCCCACACCTGGATCTCAGACTTCCAGCCTCCAGGACTGTGGGAGAATCAATGTCTGTTGTTTTTAAGCCACCGAGTCTATGGTGTTCTGGGATGGCAGTCTGAAATGGACTAAGACATCTCATAAGAAGAGGGGATGGGCTGGGCACAGTGGTTCATACCTGTAATCTCAGCACTTTGGGTGGCTGAGGCAGGTGGATCACAGGGTCAGGAGTTCAAGACCAGCCTTGCCAACATAGTGAAACCCTGTCTCTACTAAAAATACAAACAAACAAAAAAATTAGCTGGGTTTGGTGGCACGGTCTCAGCTCACCGCAACCTCTGCCTCCTGAGTTCAAGTGATTATCCTGCCTCAGCCTCCCAAGTAGCTGAGATTACAGGCACCCACCACCAAACCCAGCTAATTTTTGTATTTTTAGTAGAGATGGGGTCAGGCTGTTCTCATGTTGGTCAGGCTGGTCTTGAACTCCTGACCTCAGGTGATCCACCCGCCTCGACCTCCCAAAGTGCTGGGATTATAGGCATGAGCCACTGTGCCCGGCCTGTCAACAAAACATTTTAAGGCTGGCCACAGTGGCTCAAGCCTGTAATTCCAGCTCTTCAGGAGACCAAGACCTGCAGATGGCTTGAGCTCAAGAGTTAGAGACCAGCCCGGGCAACATGGTGAAACCCTGTCTCTACAAAAAACCTAAAAACTACTCAGATGTGGTTGCGTATGCGTATAGTTTCAGCTACTTGGGAGGCTGAGGTGGGAGGATGACCTGAGCCTAGGAAGTTGAGGCTTCAGTGAGTCATGATTGCTCCACTGCACTCCAACCTAGACAACAGAGCATGACTCCATTTAAAAAAAATTTTTTTTGGCCGGCCACGGTGGCTCACGTTTGTCATCCCAGCACTTTGGGAGGTGGAGGCAGGCGGATCACCTAAGGTCAGGAGTTCGAGACCAGCCTGG
The DNA here is from genome assembly GCF_000001405.40 of Homo sapiens. Lineage (NCBI taxonomy): Eukaryota > Metazoa > Chordata > Mammalia > Primates > Hominidae > Homo > Homo sapiens. The sequence goes on from NT_187383.1 coordinate 1,778,951, forward strand.
CCAACATGGTGAAACCCCGTTTCTACTAAAAATACAAAAATTAGCTGGACATGGTGGTGGGCACTTGTAATCCCAGCTCCTCGGGAGGCTGAGGCAGGAGAATCGCTCGAACCCAGGAGGCGGAGTTTGCAGTGAGCCAAGATCTCACCATTGCACTCCAGCCTGGGTGACAAAGCAAGACTCTGTTTAAAAAAAAAAAAAAAGAAAGAAAGTTTTCACATATATTTTATAATCAGGCAGCTACCTAGCTAGGTCACCTCTTACTCCCTGATGTTTGAATTTTATGATGACCTGCAGGGACAACGGACAGAAGTTGGAAAAACCCCAACTTGAAATAATTCATTTGTTTTTATGTCTTTTTTTTTTTTAATGCTGGACCGTATGTATTACCATTTGTGTTCTGATTAGCAACCACCCCGCTAATGGAGTTAGCATCCATGGTTCATAAGCAAACCCTCCCTTTTTACTGTAGCACTTTGGGAGATGGAGGCAGGCGGATCACCTAAGGTCAGGAGTTCGCGACCAGCCTGGCCAACCTGGTGAAACCCGTTTCTACTAAAAATACAAAAATTAGCTGGACATGGTGATGGGCACTTGTAATCCAAGCTCCTCGGGAGGCTGAGGCAGGAGAATCGCTCGAACCCGGGAGGCAGAAGTTGCAGTGAGCCGAGATCTCACCATTGCACTCCAGCCTGGGCGACAAAGCCAGACTGTTTTTTTTTTGTTTTGTTTTGTTTTGTTTTGTTTTGTTTTAAAGAAAGCTTTCACATATATTTTATAATCAGGCAGCTACCTAGCTAGGTCACCTCTTACTCCCTGATGTTTAAATTTTCTGATGACCTGCAGGAACAACGGACAGAAGTTGGAAAAACCCCAACTTCAAATAATTCATGTGTTTTTCTGTCTTTTTTTTTTTTTTTTTTAATGCTGGACCGAACGTATTACCATTTGTGTTCTGATTAGCAAACGCCCCGCTAATGGAGTTATCATCCGTGTTTCATATGCAAACCCTCCCTTCTTACTGCAGAGCTAAACACATAGGAAATTAACAAAATCTGTGACCCCACAACTAGCAATTCATAAATTCATTAGATTTAAAAAAAAAACAGGAAAGCAACACAGCCATCCAGCCATCCTGTTAATAGGTTTTTCTTCTAATGTCTAATTTACATTTCTGCCTGCCCTGGTAAAGATATTACTTCATTACTTTTTTTTAAATTTTTTTCCTAAATTAGAGAAATTTTAATGACTTCTCTTATTCATTCTTTCCATATGTAAGTAGTTATGTTTCTTACAAATGGAAATGAGACCTCGAAATTACCACAAATGGGGCCAAGCTGCACAGTCCATGTGTTCCTATTTGAAGACGGCCAAGCTGCCTCCTCAAATTACTGTTAACCCTCCTGTCCATTGAATAGATGGCCCTAATAGGTGGGCTTTGAAAGTGGCTCTTGTTAAATTTATTTGGGACCGCTGAGAACACGCCAGTCCAGCTTCAGCAAATGAGCTCTGATAATATTAACCACCTGGTAAGCCCTGGCCCCCAGGGAACCCTGCGTGGCTGCATCTGACCTCTGGCCCCTTGGCCTTCTGATCCCAGGGCTCAATTCAGACAAGAAGGCGATTCTGAGAAAAAACACCTGTTGGCGTCGCTGACCCCAGAGTCAGGGTTTGGAGGGAAGGGCCGCCGGGTCTTCAGCACAGGTGTTTCCTCCAGCAGGTCCAGGGAGTTTGGGAAGCCACTGGGATGAGGAGGGAGCCGGGCAGCACCGTGTCAGGCAGAGGACGGCACCTTCCACGTCCCAGAACTCTGGGGCACTCCATGGCGGGACAAGATGTGGAAAGGAGGGATTATTCCAGGCTCTACAGAATATCTCATGGACACAGCTTCATGGCTGTGCTTCTGCTAGGCAAAAAAGTGAGAGAAAACACAAGAATAAAACATAACAACCTGCAGGTGGACACAAGGTTAAGACCAACCTTCCTTCCAAAAATGCCTTAGATTAAGACCAACCTTCCTGCCAAACATGGCTTAGATTAAGACCAAACTTCCTTCCAAAAATGACTTAGATTAAGACCGACCTTCCTTCCAAAAATGCCTTAGATTAAGACCAACCTTCCTTCCAAAAATGCCTTAGGTTAAGACCAACCTTCCTTCCAAAAATACCTTAGATTCAAACCAACTTTCCTTCCTAAAATGTCTTCGATTAAGACCAACCTTCCTTCCAAAGATGCCTTAGATTAAGACCAACCTTCCTTCCAAAAATGCCTGAGCAATGACCCTCAGCTACTCAAGGACAGTGAACGATGAAAAGGTGTATGCCAGATTGCAGGGAGAAACCCCAGAAAGTCGATGATGTGCATATTAATTGCAGAGTGCAGGTAGGTTCCCAAAACAGGGGACACTGGAAATCTATATCTATTGTAGAGTGTAGGTGGGTGCCAAGATGGTGGTCACTGGGTTTCTCTATTGTACAGTGTAGGTGGATCCCCTGATGGAGGACGCTGAGTGTGTCTATTGTAGATTGTGGATCTACAATAGAGTGTGGGTGGATCCCCAGATGGGTGTGTCTATTGGAGAGTGTAGGTGGATCCCCAGATGGGTGTGTCTATTGGAGAGTGTAGGTGGATCCCCAGATGGGTGTGTCTATTGGAGACTGTAGGTGGATATCCAGATGGGTGTGTCTATTGGAGAGAGTAGGTGGATACCCAGATGGGTGTGTCTATTGTAGAGTGTAGGTGAATCCCCAGATGGAGGACACTGAGTGTGTCTATTGTAGAGTGTAGGTGTATCCCCCAGATGGAGGACGCTGAGTGTTTCTATTGTAGAGTGTAGGTGGATCTCCAGATGGGTGTGACTATTGTAGAGTGTAGGTGGATCCCCAGATGGAGGATGGTGAGTGTGTCTATTGTAGAGTGTAGGTGTATCCCCCAGATGGAGAATGGTGAGTGTGTCTCTTGTAGAGTGTAGGTGGATCCCCCAGATGGAGGATGCTGAGTGTTTCTATTGTAGAGTGTAGGTAGATCCCCAGATGGAGGACGCTGAGTATTTCCATTGCAGAGTGTAGGTGGATCCCCAGATGGAGGACGCTGAGTGTTTCTATTGTAGAGTGTAGGTGGATCACCAGATGGGTGTGTCTATTGTAGAGTGTAGGTGGATCCCCAGATGGAAGATGGTGAGTGTGTCTATTGTAGAGTGTAGGTGTATCCCCCAGATGGAGGGCACTGAGTGTTTCTATGGTAGAGTGTAGGTGGATCCCCAGATGGAGGACACTGAGTGTGTCTATTGTAGAGTGTAGGTGGATCCCCAGATGGAGTATGGTGAGTGTGTCTATTGTAGAGTGTAGGTGTATCCCCCAGATGGAGGACACTAGGTGTGTCTATTGTAGAGTGTGGGTGGATCCCCAGATGGAGGATATTGAGTGTGTCTATTGCAGAGTGTAGGTGGATCCCAGATGGAGCGCATTTGAGTTTGTTTATTGTAGAATGTAGGTGGATCCCTAGATGGAGGACATTGAGGGTATCTAGTGTAGAGTGTAGGTGGATAAGCAGATGGAGGACATTGAGTGTGTCTATTGTAAAATGTAGGTGGATCCGCAGATGGAGGACAGTGGGTGTATCTATTGTAAAGCGTAGGTGTATCCCCAGATGGAGGACATTTAGTGTGTCTATTGCAGAGTGTAGGTGGATCCCGAGATGGAGCACATTGAGTTGGTTTATTGTAGAGTGTAGATGGATCCGCCAGAGCACATTGAGTTGGTTTATTGTAGAGAGTAGGTGGATCCCCAGATGGAGGACATTGAGTGTATATATTGTAGAGTGTAGGTGGATCCCCACATGGAGGACATTGAGTGTATCTATTGTGGAGTGTAGGAGGATCCCCAGATGGAGGACATTGAGTGTGCCTAGTGTAGAGTGTAGATGGATCCCCCCAATGGAGGACATTGAATGTATCTATTGCAGAGTGTAAGTGCATCCCCAGCTGGAGGACATTCAGTGTATCTACTGTAGAGTGTTGGTGTATCCCAAATGGAAGCCACTGGGTGTGTCTAGTGTAAAGTGTAGGTGGATCCCCAGATGCAGGAGACTCATTATTTCTATTTTACAGTGTAGGTTAGATGTCTCTTGTTGTGCTCACTGGATATTTCTTTGTAGAGTGTAGCTTGCTTCTCCAGGCAGTGAACATGGGCATTTTCTCAGGTAAAGGTTATGTTACAATGTCAGTGTGTATTGGGCTGTGGGACACTGGCTGATTCCATGACAGCCGTCTGTTTGGCCTTGATTGTGCTTAGGTGGCTGAATTTTGCCCTTTCTGAAGGTGTCTTCCATATCTGTCACAGGTGTCTCTTCTGAGCCTCGTCTGTGCTAGTTTGGCATCACCTGGAACAGCCCCTCTGTTTCCAGAGCAGCCTCCTAGGCTTTCCAGTGTGGCCATTGCAACTGACATGGAGCTCCAAATCCCATTCCTCATTTTTGTCGACAGGCTGCATTGTGAAAGACACAGGTTTAATCTCTCTTTTATTTATGGAGGGTCTATGGTGAAACAAGGTCAGAGGGTTGAAACCTAACCTGCTTAAATCCTTCCTGTAATTCCTTCCTTCCTTCCTTCCTTCCTTCCTTCCTTCCTTCCCTCCCTCCCTTCCTCCATCCCACCCTTCCTTCCTTCCCTCCCTCTTTCCTTCCCTTCCTTCTCTCCTTCCTTCCTTCTTTCCTTCCTTCCCTCCCTCTCTCATTCTTTCTTTCCCTCCCACCCTTCCTTCCTTCCCTCCCTCCTTCCCTCCTTCTCTTCCTCCCTCTTTCCCTTCCTTCCTTCCTTCCCTTCCTTCCTTCCTTTCCTTCCATCCTTCCCCCTTCCTTCCTCCCTCCCTCCTTCCCTCCTTCTCTTCCTCCCTCTTTCCCTTCCTTCCTTCCTTCCCTTCCTTCCTTCCCTTCCTTCCTTCCTTTCCTTCCATCCTTCCCCCCTTCCTTCCTCCCTCCCTCCCTTCCTTCCTTCCCCCACTTTTTTTACTTTGACGGAGTCTCACTGTGTGGCCCAGGCTGGAATGCAGTGGCACAACCTTGGCTCACTGCAACTTCTGCCTCCCAGGTTCCAGCAATTCTTCTGCCTCAGCCTCCCGAGTAGCTGGGACTACAGGCACCCGCCACCACGCCTGGCTAATTTTTGTATTTTCAGTACAGATGGTGTTTGGCCATGTTGGCCAGGCTGGTCTTGAACTCCTGACCTCAAGTGATCCGCCCGCCTCAGCCTCCCAAAGCGCTGGGATTACAGGCGTGAGCCACTGCACCTGGCTGAGAGACATTTTTAATCTCTTTTTTATTCATAGAGTATCTATGGTGAAACAGGGTGATGGGGTGGGAACCTAACCTGCTTAAAACCTTCCAGAAATTTCTATCTACACAGATCCCCAAGGTCACGCTCATACACTGGACAGGGCTGCTGCCTCCTTGTTCACTGGGGACTGGCATCACGCTGCCTCACCTGGTAGAGACCTTCCTATGACCCCGGGCACAAACCTTCCATTTCTGGCATCCTCCAAGACTCTGGCATGCTCAGATATTAAACAGCCAATTTTGGACCATTAAAATAAAAAAAAAAGAGTGGGGGGAGAGGAGAGGGGCGGGTGGCTGTGAATGTACTTAGGGAATTCAGCCTGGTCCTGTCAAAAATCATTTCTGATCTGGCCATCGAGAGCTTTCAGGGCCACATGGCTCCCCATCACTCTGGCTGAGGCGGAGCTTCTGTGTTTTGTTCCAGATGTGAAAGATCATCTTAGCAGGGCGAAGATCCTCATTAAGGCAACCAGATTCTTGAAGCAAAATAAAAAAGAAAAAACAAGAGAGAGAGAGAGAGAGATTATTGGCAAGGCCAACAACGCTAGCAATTACCTTCATCTTTCATCCAGCATTTTGGCAAGCACAGGAACTCACATCTGAAATCCATCGCCACAGCCTATCATCTTATCAAAAGCTGGTGCCATCAGGACGCACATTCATGCCGCTGTGTTTTTAAGGTTTAAACAATTTGCAATGTATTTCAGAGATGACTGAGATGCAAACGGAGGGAACACAGGTTTTGTGAGTCAGTCCCTCACTTTTCTCTTGCTGTACATTGAGAACAAGTGAAATCCATTGCTTTCACCCTGCTGGAAGCAAATCCAACTCATCACTTCACATAACACTGTGGGTATGATTCCTGCCACAGCTGATCAGCGGGTCCTGGGGTTGACGAGGCTCCATCAGCCCCAATTAGCAGTGAGGATGTCAACTTGTCTAGTATTTTTAAGGCTGGGAAGCTGCAGACAACCCTTACCAATTTCTCTGGGAAGCCAGGGGCTTGGATGCCCTCCCCTCTGCAACATCTGTACTTTATAGCGTAAGTTAATGTGAAGGCAAATGCTGGGCACTCAGGAAGCTGGGCAGGCAATTTTTTAAGATTATTCCCTGGGGAATCTAAAAGGACAACACCATCGCTGCTTTTCGGAGAAACTCCAGGCTTTTCTGCCGGCAAAATAACAATTAAATGGAAACAGGATAATGAATCATCCCATTTCAATGAGGTTGCCAGTGATGCCTGTTTTAGAGAAAGGCTCTCTGGCTGCCAGGCTACTGGGCTCTCTGTTTGTTCTGCAGGGTTAGAGCTGGGTACCTCCTTTTGGTAATTGTTCTTGCCAATGGAAGGCTAGCAAAGAGACCCTAAAAGGGTGGAAACGACCCTAAAAGGCCCACATCTCCATGCAGGGGAGTTGGAGAATATGATGGAGAACTGAGGGTGTTCAGACGTTCAAAGGCCATATACTTCCAAATCCCTGGACACCAGTGAGTTTTTGGGAGTGCAGCCAGGACCTGTGTTCCACTCTCTGTGACACACATTCTGGAAATGGATGGTTCTCACCAGGGGAGAAAGTATACTAAATGGCTGGGCCACCCCACCCCGTTTTTTTTTTATTTTTATTTTTTGTGAGATGGAGTCTCGTTCTGTTGCCCAGCTGGAGTACAGTGACACGATCTCAGCTCACTGCAACCTCTGCCTCCTGGGTTCAAGCGATTCTCCTGCCTCAGCCTCCTGAGTAGCTGGGATGATAGGCACCTGCCACCATGCCCTGCTAATTTTTTGTATCTTTGGTAGAGATGGGGTTTCATCATGTTGGCCACATTGGTCTGGAACTCCTGACCTCAGGTGATCTGCCTGCCTCAGCCTCCCAAAGTGCTGGGATTACAGGCGTGAGCCACTGTGCCTGGCCTTTTTTTTTTTTTTTTTGGAGATAGAATCTTGCCCTGTCAACCAGCCTGGAGTGCAGGGGCGTAATCTTGGCTCACTGAAACCTCCACCTCCTGGGTTCAAGCAATTCTCCTGCCTCAGCCTCCCAAGTAGCTGGGATTACAGGTGCATGCCACCATGCCTGGCTAATTATTTTTTTCTAATTTTAGTAGACAGGGGGTTTTCACCATGTTGGCCAGGCTAGTCTCAAACTCCTGATCTCAGGTGACCCTCCTGCTTCAGCCTCCCAAAGTGCTGGGATGACAGGCATGAGGCACCTCTCCCAGCTTCTCATCCCGGTTTCTGTAAGGACATTCTGGAAACCACACAGAACTCAGTGTCATCCTGCAATTTCTTACTTACCTGAGTGGACTGCTTTGGACACTTGCTGTTTTCACAGCGTGGACCTGGAAGGGACTCCTGAGTCTAACACAGACTCCAGCCACCCGGGTCCCTCGGAGTCACCAGCACTGGCACAGGTCTGAGTTGAGCATCATTGCCCGCATCCCAGGTGAGTATCTGCACTGGGTGACAGGTTCTAATAATGTGTGGCTGGGCTCCACTCATTCCCTCTGGGCTCATTACTGCAAACTATTATTCACCAGTTAGCAAATTGAAAGTAGAAAAGGCGGCCAGGTGTGGTGGATCATGCCTGTCACCCCAGCACTTTGGGAAGCTGAGGCGGACAGATCACAAGGTCGTGAGTTTGAGACCAGCCTGGCCAACATGGTGAAACCCCATCTCTACTAAAAATACAAAAATTAGCCAGGTATGGTGGCAGGTGCCTGTAATCCCAGCACTCTGGGAGGCCGAGGCGGGCGGATCACAAGGTCAGGAGATAGAGACCAGCTTGGCTAATACGGTGAAACCCCGTCTCTACTAAAAATACAAAAAATTAACTGGGCGTGGTGGCAGGCACCTGTAGTCCCAGCTATTCGGGAGGCTGAGGCAGGAGAATGGAATGGCGTGAACCTAGGAGGCGGAGGTTGCAGTGAGTCGAGATCGCACCACAGCACTCCAGCCTGGGCAACAGAGTGACAGAGCGAGACTCTGTCTCAAAAAAAAAAAAAAAAAAAGTATGCCAAGGAGTTTTACTTCACCCATGAAAGGAAGAAAATGGTCCAGGTAAGACGGCCATCGGGATGTAACAAAAAATTGTCAAAGATCACACCCTATAGAGGTGGCTGATTTGATACAACAGCCAGTGAACTTTTTGACGAAAAATATTGCAGATTGCAAGAGACACTTCTTGTTCACGGAAATAGAAATAAAGCATGGTGTCTGCGCCCGGCTTTCTGCTCTAAGCTGAAGTATTTCACGGCAGCAGGAATTCGGCAACCCACCGTTTACACTCCACCCTTTAAAACGGCTGAGTGGGGTGGGGACCTGCCTTTGGGGAGAAAAGCAAATTTTATTTAAGCCCCTGAAAGAGGAGTGGGTTGGCCAGGCGCGGTGGCTCACACCTGTAATCCCAGCACTTTGGGAGGCTGAGGTCGGTGGATCACTTGAGGTCAGGAGTTTGAGACCAGCCTGGCCAGCATGATGAAACCCCGTCTCTACTGAAAATACAAAATTAACCAAACGTGGTGGCACATGCCTGTAATCCCAGCTACTGGGGAGGCTGAGGCAGGAGAATAGCTTGAACCCGGGAGGCGGAGTTTGCAGTGAGCCAAGATCATGCCATTGCACTCCAGCCTGGGTGACAAGAGCAAAACTCTGTCTCAAAAAAAAAAATAAAAATAAAAATAAAGAGTTGATCTCCTAGGAATTAACACCACAGTGGTGATTACCAGAAGCTGGGGAAGGGAGGGAGAAAGAAGGGATGGAAAGAGGTTGGTCCACGTGTACAAAGTTACAATTAAATAGGACTAAATTACATAGTTTTATTTCTCTTCAGGGTGACAATATTTAACAAGAATATATTGAATATTACAAAATAGTCCAAAGAGAGATTTTCTTGGAGGGAAGTGTGGGAATGGGGTGAAGGATAAAAGACAACAAATTTGATACAATGTATAGTGTTCGGGTGTTGGGCACACCACGTTCTCACAAATCTCCATTGAATAACTTACTCATGTAACCAAATACCACCTGTACTCCAATAACTTATGGAAAAATAAAGTTTTTAAAAAAGATACATATTGCAGAGCATGGTGGCTCACGCCTGTAATCCCAGCACTTTGTGAGGCTGAGGGAGGTGGATCACTTGAGGTCAGCAGTTCAAGACCAGCCTGACCAGCATGATGGAACCCCGTCTCTATTGAAAATACAAAATTAACCAGGCGTGGTGGCACACGCCTGTAATCCCAGCTACTTGGAAGACTGAGGCAGGAGAATCGCTTGAACCTGGGAGGCGGAGGTTGCAATGAGCCAAGATCATGCCATTGCACTCCAGCCTGGGTGACAAGAGCGAAACTCTGTCTCAAAAAAAAAAAAAATGCATATTCCTCAGCCACTGGAAAATGAGATTTCTGAGCAGCTGGATCTGATAATTACCATGAGGTGTCATTACATGATATACACGTGCTTGGAAACATTATATGTCATAAATGTGTACAATCACTATGGAGTTTTTTTCTTGAGACAGGGTCTTGTTCTGTTGCCTAAGCTGGAGTGTGCAGTGATGCAATCATGGCTCAGTGCAGCCTCAACCTCCTGGACTCAAACCATCCTTCCACCTCAGCCTCCCCAGTAGCTGGAAATACAGGTCTACACCAGTCGGTCCAGCTAACTTTTGTACTTTTTTTTTTTAAGAGATGGGATCTTGCTATGTTGCCCAGGCTGGTCTTGAACTTCTGGCCTTGTGATTCTCCCACCTCAGCCTCCCAAAGCGCTGGGATTACAAGCGTGAGCCACTGTGCCTGATCTGAACGATGATTCTTAAAAATAAAATAAAACTTTAGAAGAGAAGAAAATCTAATCGTGGTTTTTGTCTTTTCATTGGCTCTGTGTTACTTTGTAGCTGCAATTTTTCTTTCCTTCATTAAGTCAGCTCCAAATTTGCAAACTCAAGTGAAGGGTAAGTGAGTATACTGTGTATCTTCTTGGCATGGGGTGGTGAGTGTGTGTACGTGTGTGTGTGTGTGTGTGTGTATTTGTATGTCCAGGGTTCCTCCACATCCCTGAAGAGACTTGGGGCTCCTTAATATCCATATAATTTCTATTTTGAGCAGAAAGAGGAAAAGTCAACGTTTTGGAAACTCCAAACTCCACCAGGGGCTTGGCTGAAACAGGTGTGTGTCGTTTCTCCAACCAGCCAGCTCGCCTGCGAATCTCAGAACTTATGTTAATGAGAGTTGCCTGCCCACAGCTCTTCTATGAATAATGTTTTTGTATGTAAAGGAGAAGCAAAAACATTTTTTTGACCTCTTGGAGCACGAAAATCAATAAGAAGTTGATAAAGCAAAGTCTGTGCCTGCTGAAAATAAAACAAGTGTGGTTTATTTACCCACCGAATCCTTCACGTTGTCAGACCTGCATCGAGATGATTTATAGACCAACACCCCACGAAATCATTTAAAGCAGATTAGATTCCTAGGACAATCCTCTCTAATATGACAAGCTGATAGAGGCTGACAGGTAACTAGTTTGTTCAGGATGGCAAGCCAGTCCCAGAAATTCTGATTAAATTAAAATATTAATGGTACCACCAGGAGAGGAAGATTGAGTTGAGGTGGGCGAATTCTGTGAGGACCGAGGTGCAAACACCAAGTCACAGTCGCTGTGCTGGAAGCAGAAGCCTGGGGGTGCCAGAGGAAGTTACCTTTGCTAAATCTGAAAGCAGGGCCTGCATTGCGGTGCTGGGGGCAGGGTGGGGACAACGCACCTGCCAGGCTCAGAAGGGAACACGGAGCTTCCCTAATCACCTCCTCTCTCCTACAGCTGCAAAGGTGATGGCCGGAGACCCTCGTCTCTGCAGCTCTTAATTCTCCAGTAGCCTCTCCCATGCCCTCTGCAAATGCCCGTTTGCAGGGCACTTTAACCCAATCTGAAATTGAGCCTCCAGCACCGTGACTGTGTACAGACTCTCTAGGAAACTGTCTTGTGCCGGCTGGATGAAAGCTTATTGCTGTGTGTGTGTAGTGTGTGAGTGTGTGGTTTTGTTTTTTCCCTGCAGAGAAAAATGCAAAGAATCTTGCCCCGGCCACAGGAAAAGGAGATTCCTGAGCAGTGTACCTTTCTTTCTTTCTCTTTCTTTCTTTCTTTCTTTCTTTCTTTCTTTCTTTCTTTCTTTCTTTCTTTCTTTCTTTCTTTCTCTTTCTTTCTTTCTTTCTCTTTCCTTCCTTGCTTCCTTCTTTCTTTCCTTCCTTCTTTCTTTTTCTTTCTTTCTTTCTTCTTTCTTTCTTTCTCTTTCCTTCCTTCCTTGCTTCCTTCTTTCTTTCCTTCCTTCTTTCTTTCTCTGTCTCTCCTTCCTTCCACCCTTCTTTATTCCTTTCTTTCTCTCTCTCCTTCCTTCTTTCTTTCTCTCTTTCTTTCTTCTTTCTTTCTCTCTCTCCTTCCTTCCTTCTTTCTTCCTTTCTCTCTCTCTCCTTCCTTCTTTCTTTCTCTCTCTCCTTCTTTAGTTCTTTCTCTCTCTTTCTTTCTGTCCTTCCTTCCTTTCTTCCTTCCTTCCTTCGCTTTCTTTCTTTCCTTCTCTCTCTCTTTCTTTCTCTTTCTTTCTTTCTCTCTCTCTCTCCCCTTCCTTCATTCCTTCCTCCCTCCCTTCCTTCCTTCCTTCCTTCCTTCCGTCCTTCCTTCCTTCCTTCCTTTTCTCTCTCTCTCTTTCCGGCTGGCTGGGTGGCTTGGCTGGCTTGGCTGGCTTGGCTGGCTGGCTTGGCTAGCTGGCTGCCTTGCCTGGCTTGGCTGGCTGGGTGGATTGGCTGGCTGGCTTGGCTGGCATGGCTGGCTGGGTGGCTTGGCTGGCTTGGCTGTCTGGCTTGGCTGTCTGGGTGGCTTGGCTGGCTTGACTGTGTGGCTTGGCTGGCTTGGCTGGCTGGGTGGCTTGGCTGGCTTGGCTGGCTGGCTGGCTGGCTTGGCTGGCTTGGCTGACTGGCTGACTTGGCTGGGTGGCTTGGCTGGCTGGGTGGCTTGGGTGACTTGGCTGGCTTGGCTGGCCGGGCGAGCTTGGCTGGCTTGGCTGGCTGGCTGGCTTTGGCTGGGTGGTTTGGCTGGCTTGGCGAGCTGGGTGGCTTGGCTGGCTTGGCCGGCTGGGTGTCTTGGCTGGCTTGGCTAGCTTGTCCGGCTGGGTGGCTTGGCTGCCTTGGCCGGCTGGATTTCTTGGCTGGCTTGACTGGCTGGCTGGCTTGGCTGGCATGGCTGGCTGGCTGGCTAGGCTGGCTTGGATCGCTGGCTGGCTTTGGCTGGGAGGCTTGGCTGCCTTGGCTGGCTGGGTGGCTTGGCTGGCTTGGCTGGCCTGGGTGGCTGGGTGGCTTGGCTTGCCTGGCTGTCTGGCTGGCTTGGCTGGCTGGCTGGCTTTGGCTGGGTGGCTTGGCTGGCTTGGCTGGCTGGCAGGCTTGGCTGGCTAGCTGGCTTGGCTGGCTTGGCTGGCTGTGTGGCTTGGCTGGCTTGGCTGGCTGGCTGGCTTGGCTGGCTGCCTGGCTGGCTTGGCTGTCTTTGCTGACTGGCTGGCTTGGCTGGCTGCCTGGCTGGCTTGGCTGTCTTGGCTGACTGGCTGGCTTGACTGCCTGACTGGCTTTGGCTGGGTGGCTTGGCTGGCTTGGCTGGCTGGGTGGCTTGGCTGGCTTGGATGGCTTGGCTGGCTTGGCTGGCTGTGCTGGCTTGGCTGGCTTGGCTGGCTGGCTGGCTGACTGGGTGACTTGGCTGGCTGGCAGGCTTGGCTGGCTTGGCTGGCTATATGGCTTGGCTGGCTTGGCTGGCTGGCTGGCTTCACTGGCTTGGGTGGCTTGGCTGGCTTGGCTCGCTGGCTGGCTAGGCTGGCTTGGATGGCTGGCTGGCTTTGGCTGGGAGGCTTGGCTGCCTTGGCTGGCTGGGTGGCTTGGCGGGCTTGGCTGGCCTTGCTGGCTGGGTGGCTTGGCTGGCCTGGCTGGCTGGCTGGCATGGCTGGCTGGCTGGCTTTGGCTGGGTGGCTTGGTTGGCTTGGCTGGCTTGGTTGGCTGGCAGGCTTGGCTGGCTGGCTGGCTTGGCTGGCTTGGTTGGCTGTGTGGCTTGGCTGGCTTGGTTGGCTGTGTGGCTTGGCTGGCTTGGCTGGCTGGCTGGCTTGGCTGGCTTGGTTGGCTGTGTGGCTTGGCTGGCTTGGCTGGCTGGCTGGCTTGGCTGGCTGCCTGGCTGGCTTGGCTGGCTTGGCTGGTTGGCTGGCTTGGCTGGATGGCTGGCTTTGGCTGGGTGGCTTGGCTGGCTTGGCTGGCTGGGTGGCTTGGCTGGCTTGGATGGCTGGCTTGGCTACCTGGCTGGCTGGCTTGGCTGGCTGTGTGGCTTGGCTGTCTTGGCTGGCTTGGCTGGCTGGCTGGCTTGTCTGGCTGGCTGGCTGGCTTGGGTGGCTTGGCTGGCTGGCTGGCTTGGCTGGGTGGCTTGGCTGGCTGGGCCTCTTGGCTGGCTTGGCTGGCTGGCTGGCTTGGCTGGCTTGGCTGGCTGGCTGGCTTTGACTGGGTGGCTTGGCTGGCTTGCCTGGCTGGGTTGGTTGGCTGGCTTGGATGGCTTGGCCGGCTGGGTGGCTTGGCTGGCTTGGCCGGCTGGGCCGGCCTGGCTGGCTTGGCTGGCTGGCTGGCTTGGTTGGCTTGGCTTGGCTTGGCATGTGCAGCAGCCGAGGCTGGGGATGTGACTTCTACAGAGGTTGGCACGACGGGGGGCATCCCTGCCCTCCCAGGGTCTGCCTGTGGGTCATGGGGAACATGGTTCGAGGCCCCTCCTGTAGCCACACAGCAGTGTGTTGCCGCGTGAGTGGTCTTGTCTGCAGGCTTTAGACTCAGCCGGGTCGTTTGTGCCACGTGGGGTCTGCGCCGCCCCAGGGGCCGCATCTCTTTCAGCCACAGGATGTGCATCTTAGGGTTGCAGCAGACGGGGCTCCTGTGCCATGTGGGGTCCAACCCCTTGGCCTGAGCAAGGCGGCCAGTGGGCATTGTGCTGGTGACGACCTCTGGCCTCTGCTCCTTCCCCGGCTCTGAGTCATAAAGGCCTCCCAGTCCCACCTGGGAGCCGTGTCTCCTCTAGGAACTGCTGGGCATGGCTGGGTCCTGTCTGCCTCATTCCTGCATCTGATGCCCACCAGTTCTTCCCCAACTCCCCCGTTCTCTATCTCCCCCTTCTCCTCCATCTCCTCCATCTCCCCCGTACCCTCCGTCTTGCCCATCTCCATTTCCTCCAACTCCCCCTTCTCCATGTCATGGCTGTCCAGGCTCCATCCCTCCGCAGGCTCGGTCCCCCCTTGTTCTGGGCAGGGCTCTGGGTGCTGGTCTGGTGCCAGTGCTGGGAGCCTGTGGTGCCCGTCACTCCTGCTCCACCTTGAGGAGCTGTGTCCTGTCCCACGAGGAGGTGCCCCGGGACCTCAGGGCTGCAAGCCATGGCTGGGTCCAGCTCTGCCTCATTCCTGTATCTGATGCCCCCCAGTTCTCCCCCATTTCCCCCTTCTCCATCTCCTCTGTGTCTCCCGTCTCATGGCTGTCCAAGCCCCATCCCCCACCCAGGCTGGGTCCCCTCGTTCTGGGAAGCCCGTCTTGCCATGCCCATCCCGGCCGCCACTCAGGACAGCACTCTGGATGCCAGTCTGGTGCCAGTGCTGGGAGCCTGTGGTGCCTGTCACCCCTGCTGCACCTTGAGGAGCTGTGTCCTGTCCTACAAGGATGTGCCCGGGGACCTCAGGGCCATGGCTGGCATCGTTGCCATGGAGTGGCTGTCACCTTTCATGGTCGTCCTGCAACAGAGCTCCTGCTGCTTCTGGGTGAACCTGGGGCTGCCCCCGTGAACACTCTTGGGTCTGACATGAAGGGACCCGTGAACACTCTTGGGTCTGACATGAAGGGACCATGCGAGGGAGGGGTGGGGTGGGCTGGGTCCCTGCGTGGGGATCGCCAAGGGGTGATGGCCACGAAATGCCGGGGACCCAAGGTTGTCATTCACAGAGGGTGAGGTGGGGATGCCAGAGGCGCCTCTGCCTGGAACACCCTGGCTTCTGTCCTAGCAGGACGCTGGACGCTGGCCACGGTGAGGGTGATGCAGGTGCTTTTCTTGTGGGGTCCCTGGCCCACCTCACACATGAGCTCTCAGGGAAATGGACCCCCAGAACACGTGGAGGGCACGACCGCTGGGCTCTGGGTCTCCCCACAGCGCTGCCGTCCACGAGGACCCCCCACTTCTCCAGCAAAGGTGTGGGTGTGCACGCCCGGCCCTGGCACAGCCCAGAGCATCTGGGGCCGTGGCTGGGGAAGGACGGGGTGCTTGGGGAATGCAGTGGGTATGGGGATGTCGGAGGACACTCAGGCTGTGCAGGAGCCTCACCAGGGATGTGGGTGGGGGACGCTGTCTTTCGTTTCACAGCCCCAGGGAGGCTTCTGATGTCTCAGCCTTGAACCCCAATTGGGGGGCTCCTAGTGTCAGTGTGGGAAGCTGAGGGTCCCAGTCAGAGGTGAACCCCTCACTTCTGGCCCCTCACTCCCATGACCATGGGCTCCAGCTCATAGGTGTGTGTGAGGGGTGTCCTGAGGTGGTGTGGGGCAGACATGCTCTCCCAGATGGGCTTCCCGGAGCTTGGGGCAGGGTGGGCCCTGCAGGCCGTGGCTCCCAGTGTCACTTCCCTGCAGCAGCCACAGTCAGACTCTCCGGCCCTGCACCTGTCCTGTTGTTGGGGACCCTGACCCTTCGCAGACCCAGGTGGGGGCATCCGGGAATTCAGGGGAGCACCTGGTGACAGAGGACACCTTGGGGGCAGCAGCCATTTCCCTGGGAGGTGCGGCCAGTCTACCCACTGCCTGGAGCCCGCACCGTCTCTCCTCAGGGGTCATGGGACCACCCTGTGCATCTACCTCCTTCACAGCCACAGCTGCCAGTAGATTAACGGGGCGTGTGTGCTGCTCTTGGGGTGGTCCCGGCCCGGCCCGGCCCTGCCCTCCCCACCAAGTGCCCAGGGCCGCCCTGCCCACCTGTGCCCTGCCCTGTAGATGCTGCCACCTCCCTTTCCTGGGGGAGCATTTTGTCTTGTGTGAGGACGGGGTCATTCCCATGGTCACCACCTGTGACCCTCCCCTGCCTGCAGAGGGAACAGAGCTGGGCCTGGGCTTATCCATGTCGGGTGCCCCTGGGGGACCTGGGGGCTCGTGGCCTCCCCTGCACACAGGGCTCCTCCTGGCGGGGCCTCCGAACCCCCTCATTTAGGTGTCGCTGCACGTGGCTCCCAGGTGTGGACGTCCTCACTCTGGCAAGGGCTCCTTCCTTCTGGGGTTGTTTGTGGAATGTGGCCTGGGTCCGTGGCTCTGGGAGGGAACAGCCCAAGGGTGGGGCCCCCCTGGCTGGGGAGGACGCCCCTCAGAGAGGCCCAGCCTGCATCCCGATGCATCTGGCGTGGCCGCGGTCCCCCTCCAGCACCGACGTTTGTAAATTCTGAAAGGAGCCATGCTGTGGCTGAGGGAGCCAAGCCCGTGACTGAAAAATCCTCCAAACATTCATTCAAAAATACAAGTGTGATCGCCAGAAACGCTTTTGTACATTTACACAAAACATTCATACAGGCCATGGCGGAGACTCCTGTCTAGGACTGGCAAGGCGCCCGGGAGCCGCCGGTCACCCTTGTGCCCACACAGACCCTTTCCAGAAAGACGCAGGCCCCGGAACTGAGGCCGGGTCAAGTCGGGAACGGCAAGTGCCGGAGGGTGTCAGTGTGGGAACCTGTCCTGTTCACGAGCGGCCCTACGTGTCCCCTGGGCACAGAGCTCTAGGCAGGTCCAGCCACGAACCCACAGCGGCAATCAACACGCTTCTGTGAATAAATAAAAATTTATCATTCCATGCAAACACACTCATTTTCCACAAAAGACAACAGTTTTTACACAAGCGGCGGTGTCCCAGTGGTGGCCGTGGCACGTGTGGAGCGGCCCCGCAGCGGCTTTCTCATGGGTGGCGTCACAGTGGCTCCAGGTCCTCATCCCCGCATGCATACTCGTACAGGTCCACGGCGCCCAGGGGTGAGGGCACCTCGAAGAAGGGCCTCTGGGCCAGCGGGGACTGCAGCGCACTCAGCTTCTGCTCCACAGGTCTGAGCTTGGCCTCAAACCTGCAACGAGGGGATGGTGAAGACGTGGACAGCGGCGTGGAGCAGGCCCTGGGCCCTGTTTTCCGAGAAATGCAGGCTGCTCCGCAGCCAACCTCCAGCACGAGAAAGTCCCCTGAGCCGACCTTGAGCTCCAGCCGCTGACCCCGCAACAGGCTCCTGGCTGAGAAAGCCGGCTCCACCAACACTCCCGGGGGAGGGGCCAGCGGTGCAGGTGAAAACCCACCCAGGACGGGACGGAGCCCCAGGCATGAGGTGCACAGAGAGGAACCGGGCGGGCTCATCTTTTCCCCAAAGCGACACGACGGTGACTCTCAGAGGGCAGCCTCTGAGCTGCAAGGGGCCTGTGTTTACACAACTGGGTCATGGTGTCCACACAGGATTGGAGAACAAACGGGACCACGGTTTGGACAAATTCTCCCAAAGCACAGAAGCTCCTAGTGGAGGCCACCACTTCCATTCTGACCAGAACACACAGCAGTGCGAGGACTGGACGCGCACCTTCCATTAAGGTCTCGGCAGTGACATCGGGCGCTACTCCGGGGAAACCAGCGCGGCCACCGACAACACAGAGTCTCATAGAGATCCTGCGGGGACACCTCTGCTTTCCAAGATGCCCCCCACAGCCTGGCACTGAGCTCCCACTGCCGGAGCAGGCATGGACACGGTGAAGGCAGTCAACCCCAGTGTGGTGCTGGCCACTGGTCAGGTGTGGAGCAGAGGTGACAGACGGTGGTGGGGACAGGTGCACACCCATCCAGGCTATGTCTGGGGGACACAGCTGCCTCAGGGTGTCTGGCAGGAGAAGGCAGACTGGGAAGTTCTGGGGAAGTGGGGACCCAGAGGTGGGCTGCCAGGTCAGAGCCACTGTGCAAATAACTGATCACAAGGAGGACAGACACACAGGACAGACGGCCCAGGGTAAGAAATTTCCTCACGAAAGGCTCTGGTAGAGGAATCACAGTTAGATGAACCAAAGCTTCAAATTCTACATTTTCATAAATATATATATATATATATATATATATATATATATATATATATATACACAACTTTAGCAATAAAAAACAGGTAGACTTTAATACTCGTATACTTTATAATTCATTTTGGAACTGCCTCATTCTCCCTTTAGCTGGTCACTGTGCACCTCGTGTTCTCAGTCTCTCCACCAAAAAAAAAATTTCCTCAGGAAAGGCTCTGAGAGAGGAATCGTAGTTAGATGAACTAAAGCTTCAAATTCTACATATATATATATATATATATATATATATATATTTAGCAGTAAAAACAAGTAGACTTTAATACTCTTATACTTTATAATTCATTTAGGAAAAGAAGGAACACCTTTGCAGCTACTCCTGCTAAGTTACCAAGAGTTTTTTCAATACTAATCTTCACAATTCATATTCAAATACTAAGAATCCCTAATCCCTTTAAAAATACATTTGTATTTCCAATAATTTGATATAGGCTCTCAAAAAGTCATTACATTTTGAGGGTAAAATCGAAACAACCTAAACATTAATGCCAAGTAATGAATATAATAGTTCACACATATTAAACAGTTAATTCATATGTGTAATACATTGTTACATATATACTTATACACAAAAACAAACATGTATGTGTATAAAATCTCAACAAATCCGATAAGAATTATTAGAACTAGTAATTAGACACTGTTGTTCTACTTCTGTAACCCATGATCTTAAACCATTATAGAATAAACCTTAAAAGCAATCATTATTTTCAAAGACAATTTTGAAACTTGCCTTGTGCGAGTTAGTAAATAACTGTGCTCCTTGGTTTCCTCATCTGTTACATGGGTAGAACCTACACTGTTACATAAAGATTAGAGCAGTTAATAGATAGAATATTTTAGTATTTATAGATCTAGAATATAAAAAGGAATTAATAAGTTTTAAGGAGAAAAAATAAGGGAAAAATAGTCTCATTTTCAAGCCTACTAAACATAAAATGTTTCTTACATTTAATTTATACATGCAGGGTAGGTCACTATACTAAAAATAAAGCACATTTAATTTGAAATTTTAGAAAGGGTAGATTGTTCTTATTTAGAGAATTGCAATACATTTTAATTTGTGAGCAGGAGGTCATGGTGTTATTTAGAAACAGTGACAAGAAACTTTTTTTGGCTATTATAAATGGAAATGGAAAAAAAGAAAGAAAAGCCAAGAGTAGTCATTTGACTCCAACAAGTAGTTTTTAAAAACTATTTCATTTGATTATCAGCTTCAGTTTCAAACGTTATATATCTGATAAACAAAACACAAAGGAAAAGCTTGATAATTAACAAAAAACTCTATAGTATCTCCTTTTTTTCATCTTTTTCCAGGTCAGATTCTTGCAAGCACTGGGAAATTAGTGTTTATTTAAGATTTAATGACAATGTTAATGCCACTGTCAATCTGTATTCTTTATCTAGAAAGGCAAATCTGATTTACATTAACCTGAACACCTTAATAACTAATTAAAATCTCAGCCTTCTGGCTAAGTTCTTAGACATTTATTCTGTTTAACTCAGCAACAAAATATTATTAGTCACTTTCTTTTGAGAAAGGTGAGTCTAATTTATTGGTACTATTTATTACCAATACATTTTATAATCTGCAACCTAATTAGCCTTAACAAAGTATTTTGTACTCAGCATGACTCAAATATTTTACTGAACTTACTGAAAAATAATGCTGCCGTTGCATTTCCACTCTAATATACTGCAGTGATTTTGTGTTTGCACATATTTGTCCATGTCATATGTTTGCTTGAAAGAATGTAAAACAAAGAATGCATATAGATTATTAAAGAAATCCTCCCAAATTTGTTCACATATATTAGATCCTAAAACTAAATAGGTGTTTTTTCTGAATTGAAATAGATTAACAGAACATATTAACTGAAATAACTGTCCTATTATTTATAATTCTTACCAGACACGTGCAATTGAGCCTATGACCGAGGATGAAGACTCTATAAAGGACATCGCTCAAGTATACAATATGATTTTCTTTAATTTTGATCTGAAAGACTTGTTAATAGAAAGACTGAAGTTCTGTCAAACAAATTGATTACATTTCTACTGGATTTCGGAAATACGTAGCATCTGTGATAAATTAAAGTACTTAATCATCACTTATTGTCTTTAGTGTACAATTTATTATATCTCTATTTTTATACCCCTCAAAGTATTTGCAAAATTAATAGAACTTTCTTAAGAATACAGTGACTGTCCTCAAAATCCACTTAAAATTGGTAGCCTCAAATTTATATTTCATCTACTCTTCCAAAATACTTATTGTATTGTTGGTTTTAAGTCTAACATCTCACTATTTTCTATTTTATCATATGCTTTTCTGATGCATATTTTTTTCTGCTTTATATTGATTTTTATGATCTTTTTTTCTTTATTAGGTTTTAGGTGTAACTCTTTTTATTTTTATAGTTACTTCATAGTTCATAATATGCAGCTTTAACTTATCACAGTCTACCTTCAAATGATATTACATCACTCAGACTGATTTGTGAGTACAGAGAGACTGGGCAGGGACATATATGATGAATCAGAAGCACCTGACTCTTTTAAAAGGCTCACTAATCTTAGTAAAATAAATCCATACAGAAAATTCTTTTATTTTAAGGTGAGTAAACATGCACACACATGGCCCTTCAAGGTCATTCTGTCAGTCAGCCTTAATCCAACCCATGAGATACCAATTTGCTAGTTTATGATCATTGCCATAGAACAGTTTTTTTAAATTCTAAGTTTAAACTGAAGATTCAATGGAGGTGGAACTAGTTTTCTTTTTGAGCAAGAAAATAACTCAATTAAATGTACTATGTCTCAAAATATGCAGTATACACACCATCATGAAAACGAGACAAGAGTAAATAAATTATGACATCTAGAAAATTAGGTAAGACACTGTTCAATAATGAGGCAAAATAGGATGTGAATGTCACCTACGCTATCAAATAGAGAGAAATGTGGGGTTTCATCGAATAAATCTGAGGTTGAATGTATAGAACATTATTTCAAATATGTCTTGATTTGTATTTAAACTTATATCCTATAAAATCATGCAGAATATGAGGAGTCGTTATCTAATTTTAAGTAGGAAAAATATGAATCAGTACTAATAATAAAAACTAATAATTTACTCAATGCCAGGCAATGTTTCTAGTGTTTTACATTTTCAGAAAACAATTATAACTGTGAAGAAAACAATTCTTCACTTTTCAAGAAAGAAAACCAAAGTAATGAGAAACTAAGTAAGTGGCCCACCCAAGGTCGTATAGTTAAGAAATGACTAAGTTGTAGACCTTATAGACCTTAACATGTTTTATTTGTTTGCTTGTTTTGAGATGGCATCTTGCTCTGTCGCCCAGGCTGGAGTGCAGTGGCACGATCTCGGCTCACTGCAAGCTCTGCCTCCTGGGTTCATGCCATTCTCCTGCCTCAGTCTCCCAAGTAGCTGGGACTACAGGCGTCCACCACCACTCTCGGCTAATTTTTTTGTGTTTTTAGTAGAGACAGGGTTTCACCATATTAGCCAGGATGGTCTCAATCTCCTGACCTCGTGATCCATCTGCCTCGGCCTCCCAAAGTGCTGGGATTGCAGGCATGAGCCACCACACCCAGGAGACCTTAACATGTTTTTAAGTAAAATGTATTATTTTTCATGTGTAATGTTTGCTCTGTCTCTCATATATACATAAAAATATAATCATGAAGAGAATTATAATAGCCAACTTTATATTTCAGAGATATTGGCTTGGCATTGCTTTCAGCAGGTATTTCGACATTAGCCTCTGGAATGGAGTTGGGGACAGGTTGATTTCAATGTTTCAAAAATATATGAGAACTGTGAACCTATGTTAGTGGATTGCCTATTCGTGACTTCTAGTTGAACACTATCAAAATTGACAACTAAAAAAAAAAATGAAATGAGAGAAAATGTTTATAGCACTTAAGAGGATAAATTAGTTTCTTTATGTCTAGATTTTATATTAAAGAGCTTTCAGGAAAAGTAAATGACAGTTAATGATTTTGATTATAATCAGTCAGACTTTTTCCATATTTGAGCAAAAATTGTAATTGACTTATCCACTGCTTTCAGTGTAGATTAGCTGAATCATCTAACTTATGTCATCTCTTATAAAAATATTGAGATGAAAAATGAATAAATGATTTATTTATCTTAAAACAGTTCTATGTTGATAATATAAAAAATACTGACAGTTTCATCTAAAATATGTTTGGATAAGCTACATTATATATGATTCATATCTTATGTATAATTTTTATATGATATTTGATTTGGTTCATACACAAAGGAACAAATGTTTTTATGTAAGAAAGTTATTTTGCTTATTACAGAATTTAAAACTAAAATGATTCTTCCACGATGGCCATTTAACAATTTAAATTTAGGAAACATCTGGCATGTTCAACTGAGTATTTACTTTGCATAATTGTGTTCCATATCTTAATGCATTCCCTTTAGCAGTTTCTTTCAGCAAGCAACACATGTAAACTTGTTTCTCGCTAAATATTTTTTATTTAGCAAAGTTTTAGACCTAGAGATTTAAAGAAAAATTGAAAAGATGTTACAAAGATGAACTCTTGAACCGAATCTTTTATTTTTAAGCATGCAAAACGGTGTGGTTTTTTAAAACCCTGAAGACATAAATGTACAACTGAGAACCCAAAGAAAATTGGACTGTTTTGTTTTGTGATTTGATGTCTGAAAAATAAAATCCTTTAGTTTCCTTTCATTTTTCCTGAGAGAATATAAACTGTGTTGTGATGTCAAACTCATTCTGAGTTTAGATGCCCCATGGGCAAATCGTTTCATCTAATTAAAACAAAATGAAGACAAATCTCTTACACATAAATCTTTGATGGTGGGAAATGTAGCTTCATGTTTTTAAAGCCTTCACAGAAGACAAAGTACCTCTCAATCTTGTAACTCTACTTTTTATAGCTACCTAATTATTAAGGCATATTTGATATACTGTAATCAATTTATATTTGTGTTTTGTTTAATAATTGGGATCCTTTGGACCGTTTGCTGCAAATATCCTATATTTAAAAAAAACTTTGTCTAAATATATCATGTAGAAAAATATTTATACCTAAAAATATAAACTCCATTAACAAAAATTGTTCAGCAAAACTCTATTAATTCAATACACTGTATGGTTAATTTTTGTAGCCAATTTTTCCTTTTCTTCTCTCTAATGATGTGATGTTCTTCAATGTCTTCTGAAAACTTGAGCATAGGAAGTTGGAAGTGTATAAAGCAAAACAAATAGTAAGGAGATAATTTAGAATGCTAATTTTTGAAGGGGAAATATAAATTTTACAACTCTTAGATTGCATTTTAAATTTATATTATCTGTATTTAAGTATTTAAGTTGATTTTCACCAGTGTGTTAGTGTGTTTGTGTTGTTGTAAAACAAATAACTAAGACTGGGTCATTTATAAAGAAAATAGATTTATTTGGCCCTTGGTTCTGCAGATTGTACACAATGCATAGTGTCAGCATCTGCTTGTGGTGAGGGCCTCAGGAAGATTACAATCATGGCAGAATTTGAAGGGGAGCCAGCATGTCATAGGGCAAGAGAGGGAGCAAGAGAGAGAGAGGGAAGGTGCCACACTCTTAAACAACTAGATCTCCTGTAAACTCTTTACCACTTATTACCCAAGGGAGGGAACCAAACCATTCATGAGGGATTTGCCCCCATGACCTAATACCTCCCACTAGGCCTCACATCCGACAATACAGGTCACATTTTAATATGAGATTTGGAGGGGATAAAACATCCAAACCATATCAACTGTTCACTGCTAACTACTAAATCAAAGAATTAATTTTTTACAGGCAATGTATTTTTTTCTTCATTCAAAAGAAAAATACTTGACTGGACCTTATGAGGAGAAAATGTTAATCTCTTGCAGTTTTTAATTAAATAAAATAATTTGAGGCTATTTTTGCAAATTAAGGCCATTGAGAAGGACTCTAGACTATAAAAAGATTCCAGACATTTTCTATAAACATATTTCATTATATATATATATATAGTTGTTATCATAGTAGATTTACACCATTGCCATCTGGAAGTAATTCCCTTATTCAACACAGAAGGATTTCTCATCCTTCTCCTAAATATTTTCTTCTAGCTCAGAGTGCCTGTGGCCAAAAACAAGAGATTTTAAAACAACAACAAAAACAAAAAATTCTGCTATCCCCATATGGGTTATCTTTCTTTTGTAGTCTTCTTTTTACTTGAGTTAAAATATTTCCTTTGAATTCAGACTGACAAAGATATTGAAGGACATCGAATGTCGTTTAGAGCACTGTTCCTGCGCCTGTTTTCACTAGATCAATAGTGGAGGTGACTGGAGATATTGGAAGAAAGAAATAAACTAGGGTAGCTCATATCACCCATTCCATGTTTTTTGTCTTTAGGATGTCCCAGCCTGCAGTGAAAATGAATTCTGTTCTGCCTCTGCTATGCGGTAAATTTAGCAATAAAGTTTCTGCTCTGTGCCCTGTACTGGAGTGTAGTGTAGGAAAATCCCTGTTGCTAAGCACCACGCCAACAACACCATGAGCTACAGAGCTCACATGTTTATTTCATTATGCTTTACTTCTGTTTTTTTTTGTTGTTGTTGTTGTTGTTTTGAGATGGAGTCTGGCTCTGCAGCCCAGGCTGGAGTGCCATGGCGCAATCTCGGCTCACTGCGAGCTCCGCCTACCTGGTTCACGCCATTCTCCTGCCTCAGCCTCCGAAGTAGCTGGGACTACAGGCGCCCACCACCACGCCCAGCTAATTTTGTATATTTTTATTAGAGACGGGGTTTCACCGTGTTAGCCAGAATGGTCTCGATCTCCTGAGCTCATGATCCACCTGCCTCGGCCTCCCAAAGTTCATTATGCTTTATTTCTATGTCTATCTTGAATTGTTTCATATTCAGAGAAAACAGGAAGGTAAGTTGTTAACATTCTTCATTGCAACAAATTTTTAGAACTAATTCTATATTGAGGAATGTCTTACATTTTAACCAAAACCTTTTGATAAATTACAAAGTTGCTGAATATATCTAGATCTAAATCTTAAACTATATCTATAGCTATTATATAGATGTATATGATTTATCAAGAGCTATTATCTGGAATATATACTTGATTCCTTTTACAATTTTCATAATGTAACCAGAAAATGACCCTTGAGATCCTTGAGAGTGATTATATAAACATACCCTTGATTTGCTATCTCTAGCCTAATTATCACAGTTAAAATTTTGGTATCAAAAATGGAGCAAAGATAATAAGACTTGTAAAGCAGCAGACCTTACAAAATGTTAAAAACAATTTTATTTACATAGTGCATCCACACAGACCTAATTATATGTATTAAACCTAATGTTTAACATTATTAACAAGTCAGAGAATTTAGAAAAATCAGACATAATTTTAGATAAAATAAATATTAATACTAGTCATTAATATAATCCCTGTTTGATAAAATGACTATATGAAAATAACTGCC
This sequence comes from Homo sapiens, assembly GCF_000001405.40. Lineage (NCBI taxonomy): Eukaryota > Metazoa > Chordata > Mammalia > Primates > Hominidae > Homo > Homo sapiens. The sequence goes on from NT_187383.1 coordinate 1,804,979, forward strand.
CTCAAATTATTTTCAGCTCACATATTTTTAATGAAAGGAGATGGTGGCTGGAGGCAGTGGCTCACGCCTATAATGACAACACTTTGGGAGGCCAAGGCCGCGGATCACTTGAGATCAGGAGTTCAAGACCAACCTGGCCAACCTGGTGAAACTTTATCTGTACTAAAAATACAAAAGTTAGCTGGTTGTGGTGGTGGGCGTAATCCTAGCTACTCAGGAGGCTAAGGCAGGATAATCACTTGAACACAGGAGGTGGAGGTTCTAGTGAGCCAAGATGGTGCTACTGCACTCCAACCTTTGTGAGAGATCAAAACTCTGTCTCAATGAATAAATAAACAAGGAGATGGTATGGAATCATTATTAATTTTGGGCCCCTCATGTTAGCTAATATGTTTAAACCTAGGTCAAGATAGAAACTGACCCAGATTATTACCATGTTTCAGTGCATAATATTTTAAAATAATTCAACACTGACACATAATACTATGCTATTCCACCTAGATATAAAAAAATGGTAAGAGAAGTCTCATGTTCTTGTCCCGGCATGGTCACTTACACCTGTAATCCTAGCACTTTGGGAAGCCAAGTGGGGAGGATCCCTTGAGGCCAGGAGTTTGAAACCAGACTAGGCAACACAGTGAGACCTATCTCTACAGAAAATTTAAAAACTAGCTGGGCATTGTGGCAAGCACCTGTAGTCCCAGCTACTGGGGAGGCTGAGGAGGGAGAATTGCTTTGCTCAGGAGTTCCAGGCTACAGTGAGCTATGATCACATCACTGCACCCCAGCCTGCGTAATACAGTGAGACCCTGTCTCTTAAACAAACAAAAAATAATCCCAGAACTCTAATGTTCTTATATGATATAGGACTTTTAAAAATTAGCCAGGCATGGTGGCGCATGCCTGTAGTCCCAGCTACTTGGAAGGCTGAGGCACGAGAATCACTTGAGCCTTGGAGGCGGAGGTTGCAGTGAGCCGAGATCATGCCACTATACTCCAGCCTGGATGATAGAGCGAAACTGTCTCAAAATAAATAAATAAATGAATGAAAGTACACCGAAAGTTTTAACTTAACAAATTTTATTTACGCCTCACATTGATGGAGTGATAAAAACAAATAAGTAATACTAATGAACGTATAGGATATTTTACAATTTTTTAAAAAATTAGACCCTTATATATACAAAGTAATTTAATTTTTTTTGTTGTTTTTTTGAGATGGAGTCTCGGTCTATCACCAGGCTGGAGTGCAGTGGTGCGATCTCAGCTTGCTGCAACCTTTGCCTCCTGGGTTCAAGCAATTCTCCTGCTTCAGCCTCTCCAGTAGCTGGGACTACAGGCACGCAGCACCACACCCGGCTAATTTTTTGTATTTTTAGTAGAGATGGGGTTTCACCATGTTGGCCAGGATTGTCTCGATCTCTTGACCTCATGATCCACCCGCCTCGGCCTCCCAATGTGCTGAGATTACAGGTGTGAACCACCATGCTCGGCTGCAAAGTGATTTAAATTTATCAACAATTTTATCTTAACGCAAAATTTTTGTCATTTGTGATATTTTCCAATAGCTTATCCGAATTCCTTAGGATCAGATTTCAAAATAAGATTTCCAAGTCAGATTCTTTGAAATTACAATCCAAAAATATTTAGATTTTAGAAAGGTAATGTGGTAAATATTCTGCCTATTATGGAATAACTCTAGTGGCAAATCATATGAATAATCACATGAACTGGGATCAATAAGACTATAAATACCCCTGGTCGGGTGCGGTGGCTCACACCTGTAATCCTAGCACTTGGTGAGGTTAAGGTGGGTGGATCACAAGGTCAGAAGATCGAGACCATCCTGGCTAACACAGTGAAACTCTGTCTCTACTAAAAATACAAAAAATTAGCTGGGCATGGTGGCAGGCACATGTAGTCCCAGCTACTCGGGAGGCTGAGGCAGGAGAATGAATGGCGTGAACCCAGGAGGTGTAGCTTGCAGTGAGCCAAGATTGAGCCACTGCACTCCAGCCTGGGTGACAGAGCAAGACTCCGTATCAAAAAAAAAAAAAAAAAAATTAGCTGGGTGTGGGCAGGTGCCTGTCATCCCAGCTACACGGGAGGCTGAGGCAAGAGAATTACTTGAAACCAAGAATTGGACGTTGCAGTGAGCCAAGATCATGCCATTGCACTCCAGCCTGGGCAAGAGCAAAAACTCTGTTTTAAAAAAAAAAAAAAAAAAAAAAAAAAAAAAACTATAAATGCCCCTACATCAGCATAGATCAGATTTTCCAAAACTTAGGTTTAGGTATTCATAACTGTTGAATTTTGTATTTCCACATGAAGAATTGTAGATCTGCATATATTTTCAAATACTAATAGTTATAATTACATAGTTTATAATTTATAAGTCCAATTTTTGGTTATTTTCATTATTAATACTTTTCCAGTCATCTACCCTTTCTAAAAGAGAATACAAAATGCTTCTTTTCCTTTTTTTTTGTTTTCAAGGCTAGAACCAAGATGGGGCAAAGGCCGGGGCAGATCTAGGGCACAAGCAGGGCAGGCTAGGGCAGGGCAATGGCAGGGCCAGCCATGGCAGGGCACAGGCGGGGCAGGGTCAGGGCCACGGCTGGGGCAGGACAAGGATGAGGACCGGGGTCCAGGCCAGGGCAACGGTATGGCCAGGGCAGAGGTAGGGCCAGAGCCAGGGTCTGGGCAGGACCAAGGCAGGTCCATTGCAGGGCCAGGGTTCAGACCAGGGCCAGAGCAGGCCTGGGACAGGGCCAGGGCCAGGACCTGGAAAGGGCAATGTCAGGACAAGGGCCATGGCAGGACCAGGAACGGGGCTAGGGCCAGGACAGGGACAGGGAGAGGGTCAGGGCTAGGGCCAGAATAGCATGCCAGGGGAGAGCCAGGCCAAATTAGGGCCAGGACAGGGTCAGGACCAGGGCTGGGTCAGTGTATGGCCTTAAGTATTGAAGGGCCAGGGCCAGGGTCCATGCCAGTGCCAGTGCCGGTCTAGGGCAGAGGCAGGGCTATGGCCAGGTCTAGGACAAGGCTGGGGCAGGGCCAAGTTCTGGGTCAGGGTCAGCACAAGACCAGGACAGAGCCAGGAGAGGGACAAGGCTGTGGTCGGGCCAGGTTAACTCAGGGACAAGACACCTGCAAATCCACTTCAGGGCCAGGGTCAGGGCAGCACCAGTTCAGGGCCAGGGCCAAGACAGGGCCAGGGCCAGAGCTGTCAGGGTCATTGGCAGGGCAAGGGCCATGGCAGGACCAGGGTCAGGAGCAGGGGTCAATGTCAGGCCAAGGCCACAGATAGGACCAGATCTGTGCTAGGGCCAGTGTGAGAGCCAAGGTAGGGTCAGGGCAGGGCCAAAGGGAGGGCAGGGCCAGGGCAGGGTGGAGCAGGCCCAGGGTAGCACAGGGTTAAGGTAGGGCACGACCAACCAGGGCAGGTCTATGGCTGGGGCTGTGGCAGGGCCAGGTCCAGGGCAGGGCCAGAGCCAGGGCAGGGCCAAGATAGTGGCAGCTCCAGGGCAGGGCCAGGGTTAGGACCACGGACATTTCCAAGGCCAGTGCCAGGGCAAGGGCAAGGGCAGGGCAGGGCCAGGTTCATCTAAGAACCAGGGACAAAGCCAGGCCCACAGCAGGGCTAGCATCTGGGACAGGGCCATGGCAGGGCCAGGGCCACAAGCAGGTCTGTGCTATGGCCAGGTCCAACACAGTGCCCAGGTAAGGCTAGGGTGAAGGTCAAGGTAGGGCCAGGGCAGGGTCAAAGCCAGGCTAGGGCCAAGGCAGGGACAGGGCCAGAAGGCAGGGCCAGGAAAGCATAGGGCCAAGGCAGGGCAGGGCCAGGCCAGTGCCAAGACCTGGGCAGGGCCAGGGAACAGCCAGGGCAGGGCCAGGGCCAGGGCCATGGCCATGGCCTGGGCAGGACCAGGTTTGGGGCAGGAGCAAAACAAGAGCAAGGACAGTGCAGGATCTTGGCACAGCCAGGGTCCAGGACAGTGTCAGGGCAGGGCCAAGGCAGGGTCTGGGCCATGGTAAGACCAGCAACAGGGCTGGGGCTAGGCCAGTGACAGGACCAGAGTCAGAGCAAGGGCCAGAGCAGTGCAAGGCCAGGGTAGGGCCAGTCATTTCAGGGTCAGGGCCAGGGGAGAACCAGGACAAGGTCTCAAGCAGGGAAGGGCCAGGGCCAGGGCCAGGACAGGTCCAGGGCAGGGCCATGACAGGGTCAGGGGCTGCGTTAGGGCAAGGGCAGGGCCAGAGCAAGGTAAGGGTCAGGGCCAAGGCCGGGGTAGGGACAGGGCAAGAAATATGGCAGGACCAGGGGCAATGCCAAGGCCAAGGCTGGGCCAGGGCTGAGCCAGGCCAGAGTCAGGGCAGGGCAGGGCAGGGCATGGTATGACCAGTGCAGGACAGGACAAGAGCCGGTCCACAGAGAGAGCAGGGCTGATGCCAAGAAAAAGCCAGGCTAGTGTCAAGGCTGAGGAAGTGTCAGAGCATATCCAGGGCAGGGCCGGGTCCAGGGCCAGAATCGAGCCAGGGCACAGCCAAGGCAGGGTAGGGCAGGGAAATAGCAGCAGGGCCTAGCAAGGACTAGGGTGAGGGCTAAGGTAAGACCAGGGCAGGGTCAAAGGCAGAGTAGGGCCAGGGCAGCATGATGACACATCCAGAGCACAGCAGGGCAGGGTGATGGCAAGACCAGGGGCAGACCACTGTCAGCTCAGGGCCAGGGAAAGGCCAGTGCAGGGCCAGGAAAGGGTCTGGGTCTGGGTCAGGGCCAGGAACAAGGCAGAGCAGGGCCAGGGCCATGGCAGAGTCAGGTCAGGTCCTTGACAGGACCAGGTTCCAGGCCAGGGCCAGGGCAGCAGCAGGGGCAGGGCCTGGATAAGGGTAGGGCCAGGGATATGCCAGGACCAGGGCTAGGGCCAGGGACAGGCCATAGTGAGGGCAGGGCAAAAGCCAAGGCAGGGTCAGGGCAGGTCCAGGGAGCGGCCAGCACCAAGCGGGGCCAAGGCACAACCATTGGGTAAGGCAGGGCAATGGCACCACTGGGCCATGACAGGGCAAGGTCAGTGCCAGGAGAGGGCAGAACAGGCAGGCCCATGGTGGGGCCAGGGCAGGAATGGGCCAAAGCAGGGCCAGGACATGTCCAAGGCCAGGTCAGGGCCAGAACAGGAGCAGGACCATGACCATTGGCAGGGCCAGTGCCACGACAGGACAAGGGTCAGGACAAGGGGCAGGGCCAGAGCCAGGGCCAGAGCCAAGGTCAGGCCAGTGCAGGTTCAGGGCAGGGCCAGTTTCAGGGCAAGACCAGGGCAGGGACAGGGTATCACAGGGCCAAGACAGGGTCAGGATGGGACCAGAGCAGGACAGGGCCGAGACAGTCCAGGTAACAGTAGGGCAGGTACAGGGCAAGGCAGGGCAGTACAGGGCCAGATCCGTGGCAGGGGCAGGACAAAGCCAGGCCCATTGCCAATGCACCAGTCCTCCCTACAAGGCTCCTACCACCTGGCCACTGCTGCAGCCCGTCCATCACTGCAAGCCTGACCCCCAACCCTGGCTGCAGCCGCCTGCCCTCCTAGTGTGGCCGCTCTCCTACCGCTCTGGCGCACTGCAGTCTCCGTTGCTGCCACCCACCTGCAGCGAGGCGAGCCACGGTGTCGCAGGCTCTAGGTGTCTCCTCCTCCTCCTGGCATGGAGCAGCTGGGCGGGCAAAGCCAGAAAAGCCTAGAGGAAGATGTGAGGGGCGGAAGGGTTAGAGCCTCAACTTGTCATGCTGGCCACTGGGTGGCAGGGGCCAGTTTCAGCAAAGGCACTCTCACCCACCCTCCAAAGTCCAGCCTCTCCTTTTGGCCCAAGCTGGCCCGGAACTGGGGTCTGGGGTGGGTGCTGGAGATACCACAGCACCCAGCTCCCCACTCCACAGGAATCATTGGGCCCACTGGGGCTGCACTCCTCGGGGAGCAGGAGAAGCAGAAAAATTCAGACCCAGCCAACCCTCCGCACCTAGGTGCCAATTCCTGTTCCGGACGCCTCCACGCACAGGGCCCTGTCCCCCGTGGTGTCCCCAGGGGTGCCTGGCAGCCTCTGAGGCACAGACCCAGAGTGCACAGGCCCAGGAACCACGGTGGGTGTGGGGGTTCTGCCATGCTCAGGATTCCAACGCAAACGCTGCATGCCTGCTGCACTCCAGTATGACCAAGAGTGGGTCGCCCTCTGGAATGTGGAGTCAGGGAGAGGAGAACCACTCCTTCCTTGGATGCCAACTCTCCTGACCGCCACCAGCAGTGCAGCCACTGATAGCACCAAACTCGCCCCCCCTCCACGGCTAGTCCTGCCCTCAATAGCGCCCCCCACCTCCGTCCCCCAATGCCACCAGTAGCGTATACCCAATAGTGCCCTAACGTGTCCTCCTCCATGGGCATTGCAGCCCCAGAAAGTGCCCATAACCCACCCTCCCTGCCGTGGGAAGTGCAGCCCTGTACAGTGCTACCAACCAGTACCCCTAATGCAGGCAACGACACCCTGCATAGCGCCCCCAACCCACCCCACACTGCGAAAGGTGCAGCCCTGGATAGCCCCCGTCCTACCACTCTGGTCGTGCTGCACACTCTGTCACCGCCACCACCAACCAGTGAGGCAAACCAGTGGTCCACAGGCTCTAGCACCCAGCAGCCAGGCACGGAGCAGCTCTCACTGATGGCCAGCTCCTACCACTCTGACCATGCTGCTGTCTCCCTGGCCATCTTCTTTGACTACAAAGGAATAAAACTAGGTATCAGTAAGAAGAGTAATTTTGGAAACAATACAATCACATGGAAGTTAAACACTACCCTCCTGAATAAATGACTAGCGGGTCAATGAAGATACTAAGACAGAAATTCAAAAATTTCATGAAACAAAGGGTAATGAAAACACAGTATACCAAAACTTGTTACGCAGAAAACAGTACAAAGGCAGAGATTTACAGCTATAAGTGCCTACCATCCAAACAAAAGAAAAACTTCAAATAAACAATACATCTTAAAGAACTAGTAAAGTAAGAACAAACTAAACCGAAATTAAGAAAATAACTAAGATTGTAGCAGAAATAAAATTGAAATAAGAAACACACAAGATTAAATGAAAAGTTGGTTTTCTGGAAAGCTAAACAAAATTGACAAACTTTTAACCAGGCTAACTAAGAAAAAAGAGACAAGATTCAAATAAAATCAACAGATTAAAAAAAAGGAGACACTACAACTAATAACTTCAGAAATTCAAAGGATCATAACTGGCTATTACATGCCAATAAATTGGAAAGCCTAGTAGAAATTGGCAAATTCCTAGATGCATAAAACCTACTTAGGTTGAATAATGAAAATATCCAAGACCAGAACAGATTGGTAACAAGTAATGAGATTGAAGCCATCAGAAAAAGTCTCCCAGTAAAGAAAAGCCCAGGAACTGATGTCTTCACTGCTGATGGCTTCACACCAAACAATTTAAAGACCTCGTACGAATCCTACTCAAACTATTTTGAAAAACAGGAGGGAATACTTCCAAACGTATTCTATGAGACCATTATTACTGTGATACCAAAATCAGACAAAGGCATCAAAGAAGGAAACTACAGGCCAGTATCTCTAATATTGATGCAAAAATCCTCAACGAAATACCAGTGAATCAAATTCAGTAAAACATTAAAAAGATAATTCATCATGATCAAGTGGAATGTATCCCTGGGATGCAAGGGTCACTCAACATACAATGTGATGCATCATATCAACTAAATAAATGACAAAAACAGTATGATCATGTCAACTGAAACTGAAAAAGCATTTGATGAAATTCAACATCCCTTCATGCTATTAATCCTCAAAGAAACGGGTACAGAAGAAACATACCGCAACATAATAAAAACTACAGGAAAGACACCCACAGCTAGAATCATATGGAGGGAGGTCCAGGCTGCAGTGAGCTGTGATCCCACCAATGCACTCCAGCCTGGGCAACAGAGTGAAACCCTGTCTTAAAAAAATATGTAAAAAGAGGTATGAGCCTCTTTTATAGGTGCAGTGACTCACATCTGTAATGCTAACATTTTCTGGGAGTCTGAGGTGAGAGGATCTCTTGAGGCCAGGAGTTCAATATCAGCCTGGGCAACATAGCGAGACCCTTTATCTACAAAAAAATTTAAATATTTGCCAGGTGTGGTTGCATGTGCCTGTATTCTTAAACAATTATAAGATGACCCAGATAGTCTATTCCTTAGGGCTATACCCAAGGGAAATGAAAATATACATCCACACTAAAATTTGTACACAAATGTTCATAGCAGCATTGTTCATAATAGCCAAAAATTGGAAAAAAAACTCAAGTGCCTATCAACAGAGGAACTGATAAAATATGGTATATCCATTCAAAAGATTACTCAGCATTAGAAAAGAGTGAAGTGCTGATATACGCAACAGCATGGATAAACCTTGAAAACACTGTGCCAAGTGAAATAAGTCAATCACAAAAGACCATATGTAGTAAGATTTCATTCTGTGAAATCTCCAGAAGAGCTAAACTCAGAGACAGAAAGTAAGCTAGTTATTGCCAGGGACGAGGGGAAAAGGGAATAAGGATGACTGCTAATGGGTGTGGGATTTCTTGTGGACTGATGAAAATGGTCTGAAAGTATCTAGACACCTGTCTTGTTTGTGTGATTCTGTGAACATATTATAAACCATAAAATTCTGCACTCAAGGGGTTGATTTCATGGTAGGTGAATTTATCTCATTTATCTTTATCTCAATAAAGCTTTCTAAAGAAACTTTAAAAAGACATCTGTATAACCTACAAAAATAACACACTGAGAGACTAAAATGCCTAATTTTTCCATTTTTCTTCTTCAGCGCAATCTCAAGTCAAAAAGTCTTTCCTTCCTATATATGCATATTTTGTCCAGTGAAACAAGAAACTCTATTAATTTTTTTATTAGAAATAAAAAAATGCCATGTGTGCTGGCTCACAGCTGTGCTTCCAGCTACTCAGAAGGCTGAGGAAGAAGGATCACTTGAGGCCAAGACTGGGAGTTCAAGACCAGCTGAGGCAACATAGCTAGATCCTGTCTTTAAAAATATTTTTTAGGCCAGGCACGGGGGCTCACGCCTGTAATCCCAGCACTTTGGGAGGCCAAGGAGGGCAGATCATTTGAGATCAGGAGTTCAAAACCAGCCTGGAATACATGGTGAAACCTCATCTCTACTAAAAATATAAAAATTAGCCAGATGTGGTGGTGGGCACCTGTAGTCCCAGCTACTTGGGAGGCTAAGGCAGGAGAATTGCTTGAGCCAGGAGGGTGGAGGCTGCAGTGAGTCCAAGATCATGCCAATGCACTCCAGCCTGGGTGACAGAGCAAGACTCTGTCTCAGGAAAAAAAAAAAAAAAAAAAAAAAAAAAAAATATATATATATATATATATATATATATATATATATATATATACACACACACACACATATACATATATATGTATATATATATTTTTAAGTTAAAACCCTACTGAAATGAAATAAAATAAAATTCGACTTAATTAAAAAATAGTTCCTGAAATATTAATTTTCAAACAATTCTATTTTAGCTTTGACTCTGAACAAAATATAAACGTCAATTTCAAAATATCACAAAGATTGGCTGGGGGCAGTGGCTCATGCCTGTAATTCCAGCACTTTGGGAGGACGAGGCAGGTGGATCACTAGAGGCCAGGAGTTCCAGAGCAGCCTGGCCAACATAGGGAAACCCAGTCTCTACGAAAAAAATACAACAAAAATTACCCGGGTCTAGTAACCCCAGCTACTCAGGAGGCCGAGGAATTAGAATCGCTGGAATCTGGGAGGTGGAGGTTGCAGTGAGTGGAGATCATGCCACAGCACTCCAACCTGGGCGACAGACTGAGTCTGTCTCAAAAAAATAAAAATAAGGCCAGGTGCCGTGGTTCACGCCTGTAATCCCAGCACTTTGGGAGGCCAAGGTGGGCAGATCACTTGAGGTCAAGGAGTTTGGGACCAGCCTGGGCAACACAGTGAAACCTCCTCTCTACTAAAAATACATAAATTAGCTGGGCGTGGTGGCACACACTTGTAATGCCAGCTACACCAGAGGCTGAGGCAGGGGAATCGTTTGAATTCGGGAGGTGGAGGTTGTAGTGACCTGAGATTGTGCTACTGCACTCCAGCCTGGACGACAGAGTGAGACTCCATCTCAAAAAAAAAGAAAAAAAAAGAAAAATTTAAATTTAAAATTTAAAAAAATCACAGACTACAAATACTCAGGTTTAAGCAAATTCCCACCTTTCTCGAATTAACAGTAATTCATATTTGCTTTGTCAAAAATGTTGATATTTACCTGCCTCAACAGAATGAAATCCTAAAAGCCTAGTGTTCTCAAATGATGAAGAGAAAGACACATGCATATTTTAATTTAGAATTTTGATTCAGAATTAATTTTAATCTAGCTGGAGTATACATAATCGTTTATGTATTTATTTACTTATTTAGGAGACTGGGTTTCACTGTGTTATCCAGGATGGAATGCAGTGGCACAAGTTGGCTCACTGCAACTTGTACGTCCTGAGCTCAAGCAATCCTCCCACCTCAGCCTCCGGAGTAGCTGGGACTTCAAGTGCACGCTACCACACCCAGCTAATTTTTGCGGAGACGAACCTCGCTATGTTTCCCACACTGGTCTCTAAGTCCTTGGCTCACTACAGCCTCAAGCCCCTGGGCTCAAGCAATCTGCCTCCCAAAGTGCTGAGATTACAGGAGTGAGCCACCGCAATCGGCCTAGTGGATAGTGTATACTAAGCAACATATACCCTGCTTTTGCCTAGAACATACTGAAAACATGGCATTAAAACAATCACAAAAGTTGGGAGCTGAGAAAAATCATATACTGTAAAACAAATCTGACAGATATTAATCTCAGGAAGCTCCTGAAAATGTTTCAAGAACTCCTATGCTGCACTCTCCCTAATAATTTAGACTTTCTACAGATATTTTCTGATCATCTACCGTGTGCCAGGCACCATGCCAGGTACCAAGATGCCATGGTGAGGTATACACAAAACCGGCTCCTGCTTGCGGGAAGCCTACTCTCTCAAACAGTGCTTGCCAAGCTCGACTGATCACAACTTGGGAGCTTGTTTAAGTTCCAAATCGGCTTCCCTGCTTAGGTGAGCCACAATCCGTGGCATTTTTATCAGGTGCTCCCAATGATTCCTACGCTCTAACGGGTTTGGGAGGAAAGGGTGGGGGTTAGCTCGAGAGCCCAGAGCCATCCGTTCCAGCAGGAGCCCCACCTCTAAAGTCCATGTCGCTCAGCATCCTTCCCCCTGACTAGTGGCCTAAACACAGCAGGAAGCTGAGGTGGGTGGAACGCTTTCCAAAACAGCACTCTGTGATGAGCCACCGACAGACTTGCTCACCTCCGGGGACGAAGAGCTCCCTCCTCACAAACCCCACCCAGGAAAGGTAGCACCTGAGCCTCCCGGGCTGCGCCGACACCTGTCTCCCCGCGGGTGCCGCCTACTGCTCCAGTGGACTCCAGTCCCCAGGTTCCGCCCCACGGGGACTGGGGAGAGTGGGGGAGGCGCCGCGAGCATTAGGCGCTGACTGTATACCGACAACCCCTCTCCGGTGTGCGCAGGCCAACACCCATACACACCCTCATACACCCACACTCTAGCGGAAACTGAGGCAGGCAGGCGTTGGACCAGGTCCCGCCGCCTGACGGCTCGCAGCTGGGATCGAACCCGGACTGCGAGACGCCTTCCGCCTCACAGGCGCTCCTCAGTCTCAGGCCCGGCCTGGCTCCCACCGCCGGAGTTTCACAAAGAAAGTCTCCGGGCCCGAGCCCCTCACGCACTCACCGGCACCGACGCCGGCGGCGACTCGGGCTCCCGCCGCCTTCAGCTCCTTGCGGTGGTTGGCCCTTGGGTGGGCTCCGGCGCCAGCGGCGGCGACTGCTCCATATCCACGGGGTCCAGGCCGCGTCCGCCTCGATCTAACGGTCCCGCCAGCTAGGCGCGCGCGCCAGTTCCGCGCGCCATGTTCCCGCCGTGCTGCGCACCGCCCAGGCGACCCTCGCTGCCCGCTAACCGCGCGCGCGCCCCCGCGGGCCCACACATGAACCGCGCACGCGCGCGTTAGCCGCACTCCCTCCCCGTGCGCCCCGCCTCACGCCCTCTAGAGCTGGCGGCTGTTCCCAGTGCCTCGCCCACCCCGGCCGGGCCCGTCGGACTCGGCGGGTGAGTGCGTGGTTCCCGGCTCCGCACCGCCGCCTGCCTCTCTGCAGACCACCCGGGACCCAACCCCTCAGCCACTTCCCCACACTGCCCCTTTCGCTTCCCCCACCACGCGGGGCCTAGGAAGAGTGTCTGGGCCAAGAGGAACTTCCCCGCAAGAAGTACCGAGCTAAGGACGCTACTAAGGGGGCGGGATCGCCACCGTGGAGGTGTGCGAGCACATGCCTGCGTCAGGGAGACAGCCAGAGTCAACGGAGAAGCTGAGTTCAAGTCCCACATCTCCACTAACCCTTGCGTGTTAGGGTCAGGGCTTCGGGACTTGTTTCTCCTAAATCTTTTTTTTTTTTTTTTTTTTTTTTTTTGAGACAGTCTCGCTCTGTCACCCAGGCTGGAGTGCTGTGGCGCGATCTCAGCTCACTGCAAGCTCCGCCTCCCGGGTTCACGCCATTCTCCTGCCTCAGTCTCCCGAGCAGCTGAGAATACAGGCACCTGCCACCACGCCTGCTAATTTTTGTATTTTTAGTAGAGTCAGGGTTTCACCGTGTTAGCCAGGATAGTCTCCATCTCCTGACCTCGTGATCCTCCCACCTCAGCCTCCCAAAGTGCTGAGATTACAGGCGTGAGCCAGCGCGCTCAGCCTGTTTCTCCTAAATCTAAAGACTCAATATAATAATCAAGAGAACGCCTCAGCACCTCGCCTAGCACTTAGTAGGTAGTGATCAAGAGAGAAGACCTCTTAAGTGGTTTTAATGGTTAAGGACCACAGGTTCTCAAGAAAGGGAAATCTCAATTCAAGTCCCACCTCCATCTCTTGGAAACTGAGAAACCTTGAACAAGTCACTCAGAGGAGCCAAAGATCCTTGATTTCTACATGTGCAAAAGGGGAGTGTGGCAGTAGCACTGCAGAGGGTTGACTGAGCTTTCAGGGTGATGATGACTGTATGATCATGCCTCTCTTAATCATGGGATGGTTCTGAGAAATGCCTCCTTAGGTGACTGCAGCATTGTGCAAACAGCAAAGTGCATTTACCCAAACCTTGTATAGCCTACTACACACCTAGGCTGTATGGCGTAGCCTATTGCTCCTAGGCTACACACCCTTACAGCCTGATACTTTACTGAATATACCATAAGCAGTTGTAACACAATGTAAGTACTTGTGTACCTGAACATAGAGAAGATACAGTAAGAATAGAGTATAAGAGATTTTAAAATGGTACTCCTGTATAGGGCACTTACCATGAAATGAGCTTGCAGGACTGGAAGATGCTGTGGATGAGTCAGTGAGTGTGAAGGCATAGGACCTTACTGTACACTACTGTAGACTTTATAAACACCATATGCTTAGGCTACACCAAAAATTTTTAAAGCTTTTCTTCAATAAATTCACCTTAGCTTACTGAAATGTATCTTAAAAAATTTTGCCGGTCATGGTGTCTCACACCTGCAATCCCAGCACTTTGGGATGCCAAGGCAGGAAGATCATTTGAGGTCGGGAATTCAAGACCATCCTGGCCAACGTGGTGAAACACTCATGTCTACTAAAAATACAAAACTTAGCCAGGCATGGTGGTGTGCACCTGTAATCCCAGCTACTCAGGAGACTGACACAGGAGAATCACTTGAACCCAGCAGGTGGAGGTTGCAGTGAGCCGAGATCGTGCCACTGCAATCCATCCTGGGCAGTTACATGCACGGAGATGTCATCTCCTGTGATAACAATGCCTTCTTCTTCCAGAATACTTCCTGAAGGACCTGCCTGAGGCTGTTTTATAGTTAACTATTTTTTAATGTAAGTAGAAGACATACATTCTAAAATTATGAAAAACACTAAATACACCAGGGCTGGGCACAGTGTCTCATGTGGGTAATCCCAGCACTTCAGGAGGCTGAGGCCGGCAGATCATTTGAGGTCAGGAGTTTGAGACCAGCCTGGGCGGTGTGGTGAAACCCCATCTCTGCTAAAAATACAAAGATTAGCTGGCCGTGGTGGTGGGTGCCTGTATTCCCTGCTACTCAGGAGGCTGAGGCAGAAGAATCGCTTCAACCTGTGAGGCAGAAGTTGCAGTGAGCCAAGATCGCGCCACTGCACTCCAGCCTGTGCGACAGAGCAAGACTCTGTCTCAAAAAAATAAAATAAACCAGTAACATAGTTGTTCATTATCAAGTATTATATATTGTATGTAATTGTACATGCTATGCTTTTATAGAACTGGCAGCACAGATTTGTTTACACCAGCATCACCAGAAACACAGAAATGCTTTACCCTATCATTACAATGGCTATGTCACTAAGCAATAGGAATTTTTCAGCTCCATAATCGTCTTATGGTACCAGTGACTTACATGTGGTTTGTCATTGACTAAAATGTCATTATACAACACATGACTGCATATCCCAGGGCCCAATGTCTGGCACACACAAAGCTGAGTTTCACTGGTGTAATTCCCACCCTATCCATCCAAGAATCCTAAAAGTTTAATGAAAGGGGCTCTGCTCCCAAAACCCTGTGGTATAAGTAGCTGGGAGGAGTTCGCCCGACTTGGGGTTTCAAGGACTCTTTCGTCCCACCTGTTTGCTTTCCTTTCTCTCCCCAAAACTTCTCTGAAAACCCTAAAGTTGGCAGAAAAATGGAGAATGTTTTCCCTACTAACAAAAAGAATCTTCAAGAGTCTCTTGGGATTTGTAAATGGTTGCATTTACTAGTCTGGTTTTTTTGTTTTGTTTCTTTGTTTTTGTTTTTGTTTTTTTTGAGATGGAGTCTTGCTCTGTCACCTAGGCTGGAGTGCAGTGGCACGATCTCAGCTCACTGCAACCTCCGCCACCCAGATGCAAGCAATTCTCTTGCCTCAGCCTCCTGAGTAGCTGGGATTAAAGGCACGCACCACCACGCCTGGCTAATTTTTTTGTATTTTTATTAGAGACAGGATTTCACCATGTTGGTCAGGCTGATCTCAAACTCCTGACCTCATGATCCACCTGCCTTGGCCTCCCAAAGTACTGGGATTACAGGCATGAGCCACTGCACCCAGCCTTCTAGTTTGGTATTTTTCTTATTCAAGTAACAAGGAAAAAAAAAATAACTCCACCAAGAGTAAAACAGAAAAAAGGAACAAAACTGATAGCATGACTGAAAAGGCCTGGGGTGGTACCTCACTTCAGGCATAGCTGGATACAGGCACTTATACAAGATAAGTCTCTCTAATCTCTCAGTGCTTGCTTCCCTTTGATTACTTCATTCTCATGCAATTCTTTCCACATAGTGGCCTGAGCAGCTCCTAACTCACATCTGCACAAGAAAGCAGAGGCTGTTCCCCAATAGTTCCAGCCAAAGTCCCAGGACTGACTTTCACTGGACCCGTTTGGGCCACATGCCCCTGCCTGAGCCAACCACCACATCCAGCCTGGCCAGACCTGGCTTTCAGGAAGCTCCTTCAGGAAGCGGTTGGGGTCATCCCCTCCAGAAGGACATGGGGAAAACCAGAAAGTGGGAGGAGGGATGCTTCCTTCTGGAAAATAGGGATGCAATTACCACAAGAGGTATCAGGTACAGGGCTGGCACAAACAAGAGCTATCCATGGCACCATCATGTAGGCATGCAGCAGGTCCACCATGAAGCAACCTGGCTGCTCCACAAAACGGAGTCACAGTTAATTCAGCCAATGAGAAATATCCCTCTACTTGGGTTCCCACCATTCACCCCAGGCCTGGCACGTCCCAAATTTCCTTGGTCAAAGGCAAGCAAATTACCCGCCTTTTATGCTGCACAAAAAGCTGAAAAGATTGTCTTACTTCTCTGGCTCAAGAACTTTCTATGACTCCCTCTGGCTACTTATGTGGCTCCCCCACCCTTAATGATAGAAGCCAACATTCATGAATCCCTTACCACATGCCAGGTACCTAATGGACCTGCCTCCTCCAAACAGCATAGAAGAGGTTGGTACTCTTACTGCACCTATTTTATAAATATGGAAACAAAGGCTCAGCAATTTGAGGTAATTTACCCAGAGCCAAAGTTAGGAAGTGCAGAGTTCAGATTAGCACAATATTGTTCCCGCCATTACCATCCCAGCTCCATTTGTTCATGTTTCAAAGTCTTACACCCACCTCTAGCTAGGGGCCAGTGGGAACCGCTCCACGGCAGAAGAAGCCTCTAGGAACCCCTTCAGCTTCTGCAGTGGTGGGGCTGGGGAGTAGGTGCAAAAGATACTTAGCTTTACCATCCTCTCCCATGACTTTTTTTTTTTTTTTTTGAGATAGATTCTCACTCTGTCACCCAGGCTAGAGTGCAGTGGTGCGATCTCAGCTCACTGCAACCTCTGCTTCCTGGGTTCAAGCAATTCTCATGCCACAGCCTCTGGAGTAGCTGGGATTACAGGTGCCCACCACCACACCTGGCTAATTTTTGTATTTTTAGTAGAGATGTGGTTTCACTATGTTGGCCAGGCTAGTCTCAAACTCTGGACCTCAAGTGATCCACCCACCTCAGCCTCCCAAAGTGCTGGGATTGCTAAGCCACCATGCCTGGCCCCATCTCCCATAACTTAATGGGATAGGGAAAAGAATTCCTCCAAGATAAAATTAAAGTGAGGTTAGGAAAGGAAGTAGGTGTTTGTTAGCCTTAAATCAGCAGCTGATTTCTCCCATTGGTGAGTCAATTAGTTTTCTATGGCTGCTGTAACAAATTACCACGATCTGATTGGCTTACAACAACACAGACTTAATATCTTATTGTTCTATAGGTCAGAAGCCTCAAATCAGTTTCACTTGGCTAAAGTCAAGTTGTAAAGTACTGATTTCTTCAGGAGGCTCTGAAGGGAAAACCCATTTTCTTGCCTTTTTCTGCTTTTAGTGGTTACCTATATTCCCTGGATTGTGGCCCTTTCCTCCATTTTTAATGCACACCACTCCAATCTCTGCACAGTGCTATGGTTTGAATGTGTTCCCCAAAGTTCATGTGTTGGAAATTTAATCCCCAATGCAACAGTGTTGAGAGGTGGGACTTTTAAGAGGAGATTAGGTCATGAAAGATCTGCCCTCATTAATAGAGTAATGATGTTATCTCAGCAGAGGGTTAATTATCATGGGGTTGGGTTCCTAATAAAAGGATTGAGTTCAGCCCCCTTTCTCTCTTGATGTGATACCTTCCATCATGGGATGACACAGCAAGAAGACCCTCACCAGATGCAGGCCCTTTGATCTTGACCTTCCCAGCCTCCAGAACTGTAAGAAATAAACTTGTTCTTTATAAATTACCCAGTCTCAGTTATTGCATAGCAATACAAAAAAGACTAAGACACTCAGTCACCATCGCATTGGAATCTCCCCTGACTGCTGAGTCCCTCTTAAAAGAGCACTGTAGGCTGGATGTGGTGGCTCATGTCTGTAATCCCAGCACTTTGGGAGGTCAAGCTGGGCAGATCACGAGGTCAGGAGTTTGAGACTAGCCTGGCCAACATGGTGAAACCCCATCTCTACTGGAAAAACAAAAATTAGCTGGACATGTTGGCGAGCACCTGTAATCCAGCTACTCGGGAGGCTGAGGCAAGAGAATCGCTTGAATCTTCGGAGGTGGAGTTGCAGTGAGGCAAGATTGTGCCACTGAACTCCCGCCTGGGCACCAAGAGCAAGAAACTCCGTCTCAAAAAAAAAAAAAAAAAAAAAAAGCACTGTGATGGGATACTGGGCCCACAGGCAACATAGGATAAGTTCCCATCTCAAGATGCTTAATCACATCTGCAAAGTCCCTTTTGTCATGGAAAGGAACATAGTCACAGATTCTGGGGATTAAGTTGAGGACACTTTGGAGGGGCCATTATTCAGCCTATCATGGAAGATATCATGAGAGGGAGTTAATACAAAATGCTCTGGAAACAGAGAAGGGCGGCCGGGCATGGTAGCTCATGCCTCTAATCCCAGTACTTTGGGAGGGAGGCGGGCAGATTGCCTGAGGTCAGGGGTTCAAGAACAGCCTGACCAACATGGTGAAATCCCATCTCTACTAAAAATACAAAAATTAGCTGGGCATGGTGGCAGGTGCCTGTAATCCCAGCTACTCGAGAGGCTGAGTCAGGAGAATCGCTTGAACCCAGGAGGTGGAGGTTGCAGTGAGCTGAGATTGCACCATTGCAGTCCAGCCTGGGTGACAAGCATGAGACTTCATCTCAATCAAAAAAGAAAAAAAAGAAAAGAAACGGGTTCCGTTGGCCAAAAGGGGGTCTGCTAAGTCGGGTGGGGGGCTTAGGATTTTATTTTTAGTTCTCAAGGGAGATAAAATAATTTAATCCATTGGCCCCTGTGACTGTGGGACTAACATGGCTATGATCTGTCGGACAGACTTCAGGCTGGCACCCAGGCAAAATTGTATGCTGTAGTAAATGCATCATGCACATTTGTAACAACACGTACATAACAATGTCACAAAATACTTTCATGGTGACACCTAGATTAGTGTTTTATTGAATAGCTGATGATATAAACTGGCTCATTTGGTGCCAAGACTGACCATCACCACCATACCAAGGTCATCACCGATCAGAGGCCTAACCCAAGGAGGGGGTCATGTGCAGGCCCAGCGGTGGGGAGGAAAGATGCCGCAGAGGAGACGGATGCCCACAGAGGCCCCTGAGCGGATACCATGCTCACTAAGTGGTAAGTATAGACTCAACATAGGCTGTAAGCTCTCCCCCTGTGCAAATGGGACCCCATCCACTTGAGAGTCAAGGGTCTGTTTGGGTGGCAGGGTTAGCCACTTCTGAAGGTAGAAAGGAAAATAAGCCACCAAATTGGTACCTTTCTGTGAAATGGACATCGTGCTCAGAATCTCCATTTTCCCCACAACCTGGAGGAATAAGTACTGTCATCTGCATTTTATAGCTGAGGAATCTGACTGAACAAAATTGAATTACTCGCCTAAGCAATTAGCAATTAACCAAGTCTTTCTGACTCAGAAACCCAGCTGTTGCCTGTTCATATCCAGCCCCTGTATTGGTGTCAAGATCTGTCCTGTTCTCAATGCAGCAAGATCCAGGCAGATCACACTGGACTCCCAGCACTGAATCTGGCTCAAGGGGACATCAAATTTGACTGGGTCATGGGGCTCAGGAGCATCACTCTCAAAAATAGCAGTACAGGAAGAGGCGATGGCCCTAAACAGCATTTGCAGGCAGATCCCATGTTAATCGTAAGGGTCAGGACCCTCTCACTTTTCTGTCTCTCTCTCTGTCTCTCCTCTAGGGCTGACCCCACATTGGACACCACTGCTTCCATGTCCATCACACACCACAGCTGCCTTTTCTTCTGCCTGCTTATGGGAAAGTCCCCTCCTCTCCTCCGTTTTCTTCTCTTCCTGCCCTGTCACACCGTGCACTTCTCCCTTTCCTTAAAGAACCACCATCAACTTTAGGAGGAGGGAAAGGGGTGGCTCTGGCAGGAAAAGCCAGAATCCCCTCTAGCCAACAGAGAGAGAGAGAGGAATGGCTGCATGTTTTCTCCCCCAATCCAAGGCACTGGGTCTTGGCTGAGTTGCAGGTTCCAAGCTGCTCTCCTGCTGTGTCGGTGAGTTCTGGTCAACCTGCAACCTCCTGACGTGGCCACTGCAGTTCATCGAGTCTTCAGGGACTCCCCATGGCCTAGAGTACTTTGCCTTGCTTACACGGGAGAGGAGAATGGATTTATAGAGAACATCATCTAAATCCAACTTGACCATTGTGTGGCCACACTTGCTAGATTGCTATAGTCTAAATCTAGCATTGTAGAAAGACGGGGGAGCTTGGAGCTGCACAAACCCAGGTCTGGAAATGGCTCCTTACCTTAGAAGGTGAATGATCCTGGCAGGACTTAGCCTCCCTGGGCCTCAGTTTCTTTATCTGTTTCATGGGAATGAGGATCTCTGCTGGTTGGTTGGGTGATGCGGGGGCTGTGTGAAAACAGCTTGTCAATACAAGCCGAAATAGAAATATTTCTCCACAGAGTATGAAGGTCAAATGAGAGAATACATTTAAATTAAATGGAAAATTAAAATGGCAAAAAAGGCAAAGCTGTATTCAAAGTTCCGAGCTTCTCTATAAGGAGCTTTTTGACTATGTAAGAATCCTGTACTCGTTCCCCCTAAATACAAAAAAAAAAAAAAAAAGTTGAAGGAGGCAGAAGGGAGAGTGATGCACGATGGGCGAGGACTTCACCTGCTGTTGCTGGCTTTGAGGATAGAGAAAGAAGGCCACAAACCTAGAAGCTGGAGCCCCCAGAAGCTAGAAAAGGCAGGGAGCCGATTCATCCCTTAAGCCTCCAGAAGGGACATAGCCCCGCTAGCACCTTGATTTTAGCCCAGTGAGATCCTCTTAGGAATTTTGGCAACCAGAACTATAAGACAGAAATGGAAGCCACTGAGTCTGTAGCTGTTTGTTGCAGCAGCAATAGAAAACTAATGCAGAGCCCAAGAAATCACTGGTGATGAGATGGGGAAAGTGGGCTCAGGAGGTCTGGATCTGTGATGAGATGGGGAAAGTGGGCTCAGGAGGTCTGGATCTGTGATGAGATGGGGGAAGTGGGCTCAGGAGGTCTGGATCTGAGGTGCGGATCTGGAGTGGAAGGGGAATTCATTTGTTCATTGTCTATCCTTTTGCATTGATTGGGTTTTTTTCTATATATATGTGTGAATTTTCACAATAACAGTTTTTTCCAAAATAAAATAAAAGAACAAAAGGGGCTTTTTGCAACCCAAATCCTATCTATGTCTGAGTCCACTTGTATTGAATGAGTCTTTCTGCTAACGTCCTTATATTTGGGTGACAATCTGAATGGCAGTGACCAATCAGAGCAGAGGCAAACCTTGGAGTGGGCAGGGCATCCTGAGGGCCCTGATTCCTGCCATGAGTCATAACCCTTTAGGTGCCAGACCATGGGGAGGTCCAGGGGTTGCAGGGGAGGGCTGTGCATCTGCAATGACTCTCAGGGGGCTCCTGGTGGTGGCAATTGGTGAATCTGCACAGTGGTGTTTCAATATTGTCACAACCCTGCTGTCTCTCATGCTCTCAAAAAGCATTTCTCTTACCTGTGACAGACTTCCTATACCTAACAGCTTGCAAAAGTGTTCCAGGTTAATGAGAATAATCTCTCGGAGCCATACCTTCCTGCTTGGCGTCTCAGTTTCCCCAACTGTCTCCAGACAAGTTAGGCTAGAAGGCCCCTGAGCCTCAGCCCCTCTATACCCCTCCTGTCACCGAGACCTGATCTGGGTCTTGCACCCTGGGTGCAGCATGACAGGGGTGGGCAGGGGCTGGCTCTGGGCCAGAGGACCCTTTCTGATGGACTTCAGCTGTTGGCCTTGCAGGGGAGACAGATCAACCTCCCAAGAGTCATACGGTGAGTAGCGGTGGGCAAATCCATCCCCCTCGTCTTAGATTTATGGGGAGACAGACAAAGAGGAGACACTCCAGGAAGACCTGCAGGTGGGAGTACCAGGTTGAAACCAAGGACACCTTCCTGGAGGAGCTGCTGCTTGAGCCAGCTCTGAGAACAGGTGGGGACAGGACTGGAGAGGAGGAGGGGGTCCCCTATGAGCAAAGACTGGCCACCACCCCACCTAACACCCCCACAGGGCCCCTGTGGCATCCCTGTCCAGTCCCTGTCACCACCCAGTTTTTCCCTCTGGACCCAGGAATTCAAAGTAAGCAAGGAGGTCTGCTGCTCCAGTTGGCTGCAAATAATTACAACCTTAAGCCCAAGCAGCACTTTGGGTCCTGGTTTGGGACCATGAAGCGGCTCGGTGAGACTGAGAGGTAAGGCCAGGGCAGGAATTGGGACAGTAGGATTGAACTCTCCCTGGGGGCCAGCCTCAGAAAGCCTGTGGCCATAGCCTCTTGGCCAACATCAGATCCTGTGGCCTGGCAATGCCTGGGGTACCCAGACCTCACTCTGGACAGGCCCTGGGAGGGGGCCCTGGTGAGATTCCTGGCAGCCTCACAGCCACTCTTCTGTCCGTAGCTACAACCTGTCATGCCAGCTGGAGGCTCCATCCCAGTTGGCTGGGAGCACAAAGGCCAGGAAGATAGACATCACCCACCACAGGGGCCAGTCGGGGCCTGAGCCAGGGCGGGCAGAGGTTGGCTGCCTTGGGATATGGGTGGGCTCAGGGAGTCAGACAGCAAGGGACTAGCCTCCCATCCTACTCCTGACCAGACCTGTGACTGGGGAGAGTCACCTTACTTCTCTGGGCCTCAGTTTCCCCCTCTGTGGAGTGACGCTAAATGATCTCTCTGGAGACGGGGATCAATAGGGCACTGGTGATTGACCAGGCACTCAGCACATGCCTGGAACACACAGTGCAGGACTGTGGTGGGGAGGTGGCCTGAGATCCTGGGGAGTCACCCATGTGTGCCTGCCCTTCCGACCAGCCACCAGGCCCTCAGGGCAGAGCCCACTACCAGCAGCAGCTCACACCCCGAGACCAGCTCAGAGGCGGCCCCTACCTCAGCAGCAGGGACATCACGGACACTTTAAGCTGGTACTAGGGTGGCTTCTCCAGCTCCCACGTGGAGAGGGGTCCCAGCTGAGTCCCACTCACGTGGAGTCTCATGCCCATGAAAGTGCCATTCACCACTGGCCAGGCTCATGAGGCCGCATGAGAGGGGGGTCACTGGGGAGGAGATATTGGGGGAACAGAGAGGATGGTTGAATTTTTGTATAATAGGCAGTGCAAGTATTTACCGTTTGGGAGGGGAAAGGTTTGTTATTATTAGCAATGCTACACTTGAATATTATACTAAAATCCAGTCTCTCTATAACCTGGGAGTTGCTCTTTTGTTCTTTCTTTTCCTGTCTTAATTAAAATGAGATGCAGACTCTCACGGTCCACAGTCAATTAAGAAATCTTGCACGGCCATCAGGTTATGTCTTGGAGAGCAGAGTTTCAGTACCATCAGCCTGGCAAGGAGCTGGGCCTGCTCCTCAGAGCTCCCGGGACTGCGAGATTTGGCATGTTCACAGGGCACCGTCACAGCCTCTGAAACATGCTGTCTTTAAAGACTTTTGCTGTGGCTCACTCACTCACAGTGGGACACGGTGGCTCACTCCTGTAATCCCAGCACTTTGGGAGGCAGAAGCGGGTGGCTCACTTGAGGTCAGGAGTTAAGAGACCAACATGGCCAACATGGCAAAACCCCATCTCTACTAAAAATACAAAAAATTAGCCAGGTGTGGTGTCAGGTGCCTGTAATTCCAGCTACTCAGGAGGCTGAGGTAGGAGAATTGCTTGAACCCAGGAGGCGGAGGTTGCAATGAGCAGAGGTCACACCACTGCACTCCAGTCTGGGCAACAAGAGCAAAACTTCATCTCAAAATAAAAAAACAAAACAAAACACAAAGACATTTGCAAGGACCATGTCCTCACCCAGAATGGTGCCTGCCTTTCTACAGTTTTTCAGGAAGAGGAAACATTTTCTGCTTCTCTCGCTGAGGTTTTTTTTAACCACCCATTAGGAACCTATAGATTTCAGGATCGAACACTGGGATTCCCTCAGCACTAAAGGAGGAAAATTGCAAACAGAGCTGGAAGTGCAATGTGGAAAGGTCAGGCTGAGGAAGGTTCTTAGCCAGTAGACCAAGGGCAGGAAGGACACTGCCTCCTCAGTCTCCCACTAGGGAACTTGTGATTCTTGTCCCCTGATGTCAGAATTCCTTGTCATGTTTGTTTTGTCTCCAAGGGAAGGGTTTGAATTTCAGAATTTAAGGCTAGAGTGGGCCTCGTGCAGTTAACATTAACCCTCTCTCTCCTTCGCTGGCCGAGGTGAGGTCCAGGACCATGTAGTTCTGACGTCCACTCTCTCGGGGGATCACCAGTTCACCCATCTCACCCGGCAAGCTGGGCCCTAGTTTGGCGACAGGCATCTTCCACCCACCTGGGAGGCAGGGTTCAACACTCTGCCTCTGACCTTGTTTCCTTCTTCTGCCACCTGCTTAGGCAACCAGAAGGGGTTGTCCAGCCAGCACCTGGGCTTTAGCGCTCCTCAACCAGGTGGAGGAAGTTTCAGGCACCTGGCTCCTCAGGTGTCTGCCATCCAGGTGCTCTTCAGGCTTGCCCAGCAGAGCTCTCTTGATCCAGCTAGAACTGGCCAGAACTGACTCACTCAGGAATGTGTAGACTTTGGCATCAGGGGCTGCTTTAATTTGCACAATTTCCAAATACCTCTTTTTTCTTCTTTTTCTGATGAGTCATCTCCCTAGACTTGCATTTTAAAGAGATAGATAGTTATCAGGTTCCAGAGAAGACGTGGTAGAACATTTATATCTCAAAGACACAGAGCTGAGACTTCAGGTTTAGATATGATAATTTGCCTAAACCAAAAAGGAAGGTGTAGGTAAAGTTCTAGTCAAGACAGGATGGCCAGGAAAAACACCTTAAACCAAGAGATGGCTTGCTTTGCTGATTTAAGCCAATGGCTTCTTTATCATAAGACTTCCCAGTGATTTAGTCCTCCCTCTCTTCCAGTGCACAGAGACATACCCCTCCTTACAAATTAAAAATGTTCTTTATAGATGGAAATTTATTTTACAAAAATGTTTCAAAATAACCAGATGAAAATCATCCTTATGCCAGAAAGACTTTATTTTTTTATTACTAGAAATGAAACAGTAAGTATTTGTTGTATTGACATACTTGGGCTTAGACCTATGTTTAACAAGAAAGCCTAATAATAACACTGTGGTTAGACTCTAGCCTATTTTTCCAAACCATCATTTTATTATTAAGGAAACAAAGGATCAAATACCTTTCATTCATCTGATAGGATCCTTTAAAACACATTCCACCAATAAGTCCTATTTGGAACAGCTGAAAATCTTTTAATAAAACTTTTTAAAGATGAGCTCATGGCTTAGTGTAAATTTCACAAGCTTAATTAGGTCAAGTGGAAGGAACTCAGATGAGCAGTTGCCCAATCAGAGCCCATTATTTGTAAGTCATCAGCCCCCTCCATGACCTTAAAACTCCACTCTGACCTAATTATTGCAAACCTATACACAACAAAGTGAAAGGATTAATTTTCATTCATCAACCTCTCAATCCCAGATTTTCAAAGAAAAACCTGTGTAAGGAATACTTACCAAAACCAGACAGAAAAATTAGAGCCTGCATACTTAAGAGTCAAATTTGTTCCACTACAGCCAGGTCGCATACAGTTACATCATTTGGTTCTCCATACACTCTAGAACTGACCAGGACAGAGTTTAGCGTAGAAAAACTGTAAGAAATAGGTTCTGAAACATAGAAATTGCAAAGTTCAAAAGGCTCTGAAAAAAACTAATGTAAATGAGACTTCCCTCCCTTTGTTTTAAATAAATAGACCCATCAGAGAAATGCAAATCAAAACCACAATGAGATACCATCTCACACCAGTTAGAATGGCGATCATTAAAAAGTCAGGAAACAACAGGTGCTGCCGAGGATGTGGAGAAATAGGAACACTTTCACACTGTTGGTGGGACTGTAAACTAGTTCAACCATTGTGGAAGACAGTGTGGCCATTCCTCAGGGATCTAGAACTAGAAATACCATTTGACCCAGCCATCCCACTGCTGGGTATATACCCAAAGGATTATAAATCATGCTGCTATAAAGACACATGCACACGTATGTTTATTGTGGCACTACTCACAATAGCAAAGACTTGGAACAAACCCAAATGTCCAAAAACGATAGACTGGATTAAGAAAATGTGGCACATATACACCATGGAATACTATGCAGCCATAAAAAATGATGAGTTCATATCCTTTGCAGGGACATGGATGAAGCTGGAAACCATCATTCTTAGCAAACTATCACAAGGACAAAAAACCAAACACCGCATGTTCTCACTCATAGATGGGAATTGAACAATGAGAACACTTGGACACAGGAAGGGGAACATCACACACCAGGGCCTGTTGTGGGGTGGGGGGAGGGGGGAGGGATAGCATTAGGAGATATGCCTAATATAAATGATGAGTTAATGGGTGCAGCACACCAACATGGCACATGTATTCATATGCAACAAACCTGCACATTGTGCATGTGTACCCTAGAATTTAAAGTATAATAAAAAAATAAAAAAAGAAAGAAATAGATGTTCTGTAAAAATATACACAATTTTTACAGACAAATACATTTATAAGTTGTTTTTATCTTAAAAATTGGGGATATTTCATATTTATAACTAATTATTGAGCCTTAAGTTTTCTTGGCCATTTCTAGGCTAATAAACTAAGAATCATGTAAACTAAGCCAAAGTAGAATAGACATAAAAGTCCTGAACACTTCAACTTCCTATTCTTCAAGAAGTATACTTGGCAAATCTCATTTGAGAGAGGAAAAGCTTTCCTCCACCCTCTGTTTTACAGCGCTGAGGCTTCTCATCACATTTCTATGACTTGTAGCTTAATCCATGTTACATGGTCACTGGCATTATTAGTGCTTCTCTTTTAACACTGTAGGAATTAATCAATTTGGTGGTGTATTTAATTAATTCTATCACTAGAGGATTGTAAAATTACATATATGAATACCTCACTTTAGAGGCCACTTAATTTTTTTCCAAGGGGATATTTGACTATATTTCACTTGTGTCTTAATGATTTTATAATTTAAACCCTAAATTATAAATCTAGAATTTAGAAAGTATATTTCCTCACTGGATTACATTTTTGGAAATATTATTTTATATGTGCACAAATATTACAAAATCACTGTAGACACCTGAAAACTATATTATCTTTTAAAGGCAATATTCTACATTAAACTGCCATAACAAAATTGTTTGGTGCATTTTTTCTAGTACATTTTGTATATATTACATGTTTAACCTTTTTTTATCCAGCAAATAATTTTTGAGTATCCACTAAGTGCTAGGTTCTGCATGACTAACTGAATTTAAAGAGTGAAATAACAGACATGGTCTCAGACAATACAAATTAACATTAGGTCACCTATTTATATATTTTTAAATGGTAATTATGAAAACTTTTTGAGATTTTTAACTAGATAACATTATAATAACACACTTGATGTTGTTAATATTTGCCAGTGAGCAAAAAAGAAAATAAAAAGATGGTTTTATTCAATATACACTTTAAAATTGCAGGAAATAGTTGAGTTTCTCTGCTTTGCAGTTGAATGTCTATGTGTTTTTCTCTGCAACTTGGCTTTTGTGGAGTGAGAGAAACAATTATTCTTCCAGCCCAATGAAGGCAGAAGAGTAACAATAAATCTAATATTTTAAATGCTTATCAAAATATAGTAAACATATTATTTCAGAATACTGAGATCAATAAGTTGACCTAGAAAAAAAGCCAAACTGACAGTATTACTGAATAAGGAAAGGCCCAAAGAGACAAAATACTTATTATTTTGTAACCTCGGTATGACACAACTTACCCTAACTATAAAGACCCTAAATTACCAAGATGGGTGCTTATAATATGGAGAGTAAAAAAAGTCATTTCACTTTTAGCTTTTTTATTTCTCTCAGAATAAAAAGTGTATAAGGAGTTGATAAAGAAGTTGATACTATAAGTTAGTACTACAATGACAGCACTTTTCAAGAAAAGACTTTTTTCTCTCTTACAAATATCATGTTAGCAGTATTTGTTTTCTCCAGAAATAATGAGGAAATAAAAACATAAGTATGTGGGTAATTAGTGTAGTTTCTTAAAGAAATTAGTTAGGCAACAGGCTAATAATGTATACTTCGCTGGCTTTTGAATGCCAACAATCATATTCTTTATAAGGCACAGGGAAGATTTTTCTAAAGAACAAGTATGTGAACCTGAAAAGTAATCACCACTTGGTAGTGACAATATGGATAGGGTGAAGGGCGTCACCAAGAAGCAATGAAAAGATACATTTGCAGTTAAATTTGAAAACCATGATGTTTAATACATATAGTAATAAAGAATACTTTCTCCTGTTTCAAAATTATTTTAGAATTTAAGATAGAAGCTAAAATACCTAGGGATAATGATATGACTATTGAAAATTAAAAATTAAAGGACATTTTGAGTATTAGAAGTTAAGAATGAGAACTTATTACCCAATGAACAGGGGATAATTCATTATGCTCCATATCCATTGAATTAAAAGACAGGCCCATTACCTGGATAATTTGAAAGTTTAATTTTATTTAAAAGTCTTGTTTCATTCATCAAGCTAAAGGATTAGCTCCCAGAAATATTCTAGGATTGCATATCCCCAACTCTGTAGGAAGTATAGAAAGAATGTTATAAGGGCCACCACCTAAACATTATTATGTAAATAATTTAGTACCATTCCATTTGCCTTTGTAGATTTAAAAATGTAAATGGCTTTCTCATATTAGGAAACATCATTTTTCAAAACCCAGATAAACGTAGTATATTGCAAGAGAATAATTATTTTCTTTATTAAAAAAGAAATACTGGATGCTAAGTCCAAAAGACATAAATTATTTTATACTAATAACTACCAACATTTTATTCATTAAAATATAAAGGTCAAAGATTTTAAAATGATCTTTAAATGATTAATAACATGTTGATCTTTTTCTTCTTTCTGTAAACCTTTTTGAGTCTTAAAAATACTAAACTATACAAGCAATATTAAATAGTATATAAACTTGGATTAAAATATTCAAATTTACTAGAATGTGGACATTGGAAAGAATGAAAATAAACAGAAGCATAAAGCAGCAGATATAAAATTACGAAAGCAACTAAGAGTGTTTAAAGTACATATTCATCTGTAGTCTAATGTCTACCATAAACAATGACTCTTCTCAGTAAAACACAAATCGTTCATGAAGGGAAAAAGCATGTTGTATTAGAGAATATTCAACATAACTTTTTTAGTACTAACTTGTGCCTGGAGTATTATTGGTTTTTCTATTATGAACTTATGCACTTGATATTTTTTTTCATAAAGATTGTATGTACAACTCCATTCAAAAGCAGTTTTTGGTGGTTTTTTTTTTTTTTTTTTTTTTTTGAGACAGAGTTTTGCTCTTTTCACCCAGGCTGGAGTGCAATGGTGCGAACTTGGCTCACAGCAACCTAGCAACCTTTGCCTCCCAGGTTCAGGTGATTCTCTTGCCTCAGCCTCCTGAGTGGTTAGGACTACAAGCATGTACCACCATGCCTGGCTAATTTTGTGTTTTCAGTAGAGACATGGTTTTGCCATGTTGACCAGGCTGGTCTTGAACTCCTGACCTGAGGTAATCCGCCCACCTTGGCCTCCCAAAGTGCTGGGTATGGGCAAGAGCCACCATACCCGGCCTCAAAAGCAGTTTTTAAAAGCAAACACAATATAACACCAAAGTTGAAAAATCCATGCTCACCCAAGGATGCCAGGTTTAATAAATTATTTATAGAACACTGCATCAAAAATAAGACAATAACCCAAAATATACCATTAAAGATGTATCCACTCCTACAACTAGAGATAATTAATCTATCTGGTAGCAAATGATACTTCAATCAGTTTCAGCATGTCTGAAATCTTTAAGGACAAAAGTGATAAAACATGACTTCATTCTTCATTAGACTCTTAGAACACTTGAAGGAAAATAATTTCTGAAGCACAAAGAGGTAAAGAGGTGTAATCTCTCAAAAAGATATTCAGTGTTCAAAATCCAAGAGTGCAATATCAGGCTGGGTGCGGCGGCTTATGCCTGTAATCCCAGCACTTTGGGAGACCATGGTGGGTGGATCACCTGAGGTCAGGAGTTTGAGACCAGCCTGGACAACAGGGTGAAACTCTGACTGTACTAAAAATACAAAAATTAGCCAGGCATGGTGGTGTGCACCTGTAGTCCTAGCTACTTGGGGGGCTGAGACAGGAGAATCGCTTGAACCTGGGAGGTGGAGGTTGCAGTGAATCGAGATCATGCCACCTCACTCCAGCATCAGTAACAGAATGAGATTCCATCTCAAAAAAAAAAAAGAGTGTAATATCATATCGGTATACACAGATAATATACTGAATGAAATAAATAGAATAATTTGAAGAGGTATCTTGATGAACAAGGAGTCATTAGAAAGGTTGTATTCATGTCTTTGAAGGAACTTTGCAATGTGAGAAATTAATACTTTGACTACTATACTAAAAGTTTATTGCTAACATGTATTGAGTTATTAACGTGTGTTAGGCAGAGTACCATATAATTTGCAAGTGTTATCTCATTTATTGTAGGTAAAATGTAATTTCGAACTCTGGGAGTATAAACGAATTAGATAGAATAAAATTCTATTTAAATTGCTATCAGTAAATCGGTATCTAGGAACAGGGTGATACAGTGCCCAAGTTTTCTATTCTTACTAAATGTTGTGTTTCATTTTCAATGTTTTCT
Source organism: Homo sapiens (assembly GCF_000001405.40). Taxonomy (NCBI): domain Eukaryota; kingdom Metazoa; phylum Chordata; class Mammalia; order Primates; family Hominidae; genus Homo; species Homo sapiens. The sequence continues at coordinate 1,835,601 of NT_187383.1, forward strand.
TGGATATTGCTCTTTTTTGGCGACTTTGATTTTTTTTATTTTAGAAAACTAATAAATTGACTCTTCTTGGTACTGACTCTTGGGTTTTATAGAAGAAAAAGTAATTAAATTCTGTACATTTACCTTTACCTCATTTTTTCTCTTTTAAATTTACTTTGACATATAATAAATGTACATGTTATGGGGTACAGAGTGATATTTTGATATATTTATGCAATGCATAAAGATCAAGTCACAGTCATTATCATATCCATTACCTAAATCATGTATTATTTCTTTGCAGTGAGAATATTCAAAATCTTTTATTTTAGTTATTTGAAAACACACAATAAATTCCCGCTAACTACAGTCACCCAACAGTGCTGTAGAGAACTAGAACTTCTTCCTTCTCTCCACCTGTAATTTTGTATGTATTAACCACATTTTTCTTATACTCTTCTTTCTCCTACTCTTTCCAGGATATGGTAACCAAAACTCTACTATCTACTTCTACGAGATTAAAAATTTTAGCTTCCATACATAAGTGAGAACACGTAGTTATGTGGTGTTTATGTTTCTATGCCAGGCTTATTTCACCTAACATAATGCCCTCCACTTGCATTCTTGTTGCCACAAATAACAGGATTTTGTTCTTTATTACGACTAAATAATATTCCATTATATATGTATGTCACATTTCTTTATCCATTCATCTGTTGATGGACACTTTTGTTGATTCCATATCTTGGCTATTGTGAATAGTGTTGTAATAAACATGCAGGTGCAGGTAACTCTTTGATATACTGATTTTCTTTCCTTTGGATATATACTGAAAACCATATGATCAAATTAATAAACACAATAAAAGCATTTGGCAAAATTAAATATTCTTACATGACAAAAAACCTCTTAACAATTTAGTGTAGAAAATATATGCCTTAACACAGAAGGACATAAAGGACAAATCTACAGCTAAGATCATACTGAGTGTGGAAAAGGTGAAAGATTTTACTGTGAACAAGAAAAAGATTTTACTGTAACAAGAAAAGGATGCCTATTTTCACCAATCATATTTCACATAGTGAAAGTCTTAGCCAGGACAATTAGGTGAGAGAAAGAAATACAGGATATCTGAATTGGAAAGGAGACAGTCAAATTGTCCTTGTTTAAAGACAATGTGATCTTATACACGGAAAAAAATAAGATGCTACCAAAAGCTTCTTAGGGTGATACATGAAATTAATAAAGTTGCAGGATATAAATCAACATACAAAAATCAGTAGCATTTCTATATATTGATAGTAAACTAGCTGAAACAAGAAATTAAGAAAGCAATTCCTTTTACAATAGCTGCAAAAATGTACTTAGAAATAAATTTAACCAAGGAAGTAAAAGATTTCTACAACAAAAATGACAAATATTAATGAAAGAAATTAAAGAAAACACAAAAAAGGAAAGACATCCACGTTTATAGATTGAAATAACTAATATTCTTAAAATGACCCACTATCCTATGTGATTTACAAATTTAGTACAATCACTAGCTTGTATTTTTAAAAGCACCTTTGCTGCATATTCCTAAGATATTCAATGACAATGCCTGGATTTAAGTTTGAGGTATTATTATATCTATTTTATATTGGGCACAATATAATGTTATCAGAGATAACGGTTTTGATTGGTCCTAGGTCATACAGTAATATATACATTGTGATTTATAGACGTTATCTTTTAATACTCAGGCATTTAGAAAGTTCATTTAGACAAAGTTATAAAAACTTGCCCTCCTTTCTGCCTATATCACCTAAAAATCCTAAGAGGTAATAACATTTTTTATTTGATATACAATTTATCAACACAATAAAAATCTAACAATTATCATGTGCAGAGTGTGAAAATCTCATCAGATTAAGAAACGCAAAGACATCTTTTTCATATTTTGAATGTAAAACTCTTTTGGAAACTTATTTTTAGAAACAGTTAAAAACATTTTTTCATTAGTTTTTCATGTAAAATTGTGACAACCAGCATGAAATAACTGTCATCACAGAAGCATGGTATATTTGATTCCAAAACGTATTCTTTGTAAGTTTTAATATATTTATGTATTATTTATACTTAGATTGTAACCCATAATGTAGATATTATTTTTCCTTCAACTCTTAAGAATATTCTTAAATAATAAAATTAAAATGAATTATAATTTTTGTTGGTTGGGAAAAAGAATAGACACACACGTGACAGTGCATCACTTCACCTCATCATTTCATCTCATTTCATCATTTCATCTCATCATTTCATCTCATTTTATCTCATCTCATATCATCTCATCATTTCATCAAATCTCAACTCATTTCCATTTCATTTTCATTATTTCATTTCACTATTTCATTTAATTTCATCTAATTTCATTTATTTCATTATGTCACTTCATATCATCTCATTTCATCTCATCATTTTTCATATCATTTTTCATCTCATCATTTCATCTCAATTCATTTCATCTCATCATTTCATCTCATCTCATCATTTCCTCCTTTCAACATTTCATCTCATCATTTCTTCTCATCTCATTTCAATTTCATTTCATTATTTCATTTCATCTCATTTCATTATTTCACCTAGTCTCATTATTTCATCTCATCTCATCTCAATTCATCTCATCTCATTTCATCTCATCATTTCATCTCATCATTTTTCATCTCATTTAATCTCATTTCATTTCATTTTGTCTCATCATTTCAGCTCATCATTTCATCTCACCGCATCTCTTCATTTCATCATTTCATTTCAACATTTCATCATTTCATCTCATCTCATCTTTCAATTTCATTTCAATATCATTTCATCATTTCATCTCATTTCAATTCATCTCATCATTTCATCTCATCATTTTTATCTCATCATTTCATCTCATCATATCTCATTTCATCATTTCATCTCATTTCTTCTCATTTCATCTCATCAGTTTAACTCATTTCGTCTCATCTCAATTTCATTATTTCATTTCATTTCACTTTATTTCATTTCATCTCATCTCATCATTTCATCTCATCTTACCTCATTTCATCTCATTTCTTCTCATCTCATCATTTCATCATTTCATCTCATTTCATCTCATTTCATCTCATCTCACCTCATCTCATTTCGTCATTTCATCTCATCCTTTCATTTCATCTCATCATTTCATCTCCTTTCATCTCATCTCACCTCAGCATTTCATCATTTCATCTCATCATTTCTTATTTCATCTCATTTTATCTCATCATTTCATCTCATCTCATCTCAATTCAATTTCCTTCATTATTTCATTTCATCTCATTCATTTCATCTCATTTCATTACATCTCATCATTACATCTCATCTCATCTCATCATTTCATCATTTCATCTCATCATTGCATCTCATCATTCATCTCATTTCATCTCATCTCATCATTTCCATTTCATTTCCATTTCATTATTTCATTTCATCATTTAATTTCATCATCTCATTTAATTTCACCTCATTTCATTATTTCATTTCATTATGTCATTTCATTTCATCTCATTACATTTCATCTAATTTCATTTCATCTAATTTCATCTCATCATCTCATTTCATCTCATCTTTTCATCTCATCATTTCATCTCATCATCTCATCAACTCATTTCATCTTATCATTTCATCATTTCATCTCATCATTTCATCTGATCTCGTATCTTCTCATCTCATTTCAATTTCATTTCATTATTTCATTTCATTATTTCATGTCATGTCATCTCATCATTTCATCTCATCACATCTCATCATTTCATCATTTTATTTCATTTCATCTTATTTCATCTCATCTCAATTTTATTTCAATTTCATTTTATTTCATTATTTCATATCATTTCATCTCATTATTTCATTATTTCATTTCATTTCATCTCATCAGTTCATCTCATCATTTCATCTCATCATCTCCTCTTATCTATTTCATCTCATCATTCATCTCATCATTTCATATCATCATTTTATCTCACCATTTCATTTCATCTCATCTCATCATTTCATCTCATTTCATCATTACATCTTATTTCATCTCATTTTATGTCATTTCATGTCATCATTTCATCACATCTCGTCTCATCTCATCTTTTCATCTCATCATTTCATCTCATCATTTCAACTCATTGCATCTCATCTCATCATTTCCATTTCATCATTTCATTTATTTCATTTCATTATGTCATTTCATCTCATCACATTTCATCTCACCTCATTTCATCTCATCTCATCATTTCATCTCATCATTTCATCTCATTTCATCTCATTATTTCATCTGATTTCATGTCATCATATCATGTCATCATTTCATCTCATTTCATCACATCTCATCTCATCATTTCATCTCATCATTTAATCTCATTTCATCTCATCATTTCATCTCATCTCATCATTTCATCATTTCATCTCATCATTTCTTATTTCATCTCATTTTATCTCATCATTTCATCTCATCTCATCTCAATTCAATTTCCTTTCATTATTTCATTTCATCTCATTCATTTCATCTCATTTCATTACATCTCATCATTACATCTCATCTCATCTCATCATTTCATCTCATCATTGCATCTCATCATTCATCTCATCATTTCATCTCATCTCATCATTTCCATTTCATTTCCATTTCATCATTTAATTTCATCATCTCATTTAATTTCACCTCATTTCATTATTTCATTTCATTTTTTCATTTCATTATGTCATTTCATTTCATCTCATTACATTTCATCTAATTTCATCTCATCATTTCATTTCATCTCATCATTTCATCTCATCTTTTCATCTCATCATTTCATCTCATCATCTCATCAACTCATTTCATCTCATCATTTCATCTCATCTCGTATCTTCTCATCTCAATTTCATTTCATTATTTCATTTCATTATTTCATGTCATGTCATCTCATCATTTCATCTCATCACATCTCATCATTTCATCATTTTATTTCATCATTTCATCTTATCATTTCATCTCATCTCATTCCAATTTTATTTCAATTTCATTTTATTTCATTATTTCATATCATTCATCTCATTATTTCATTATTTCATTTCATCTCATCAGTTCATCTCATCATTTCATCTCATCATTTCATCTCATCATCTCCTCTTATCATTTCATCTCATCATTCATCTCATCATTTCATATCATTTCATATCATCACTTTATCTCACCATTTCATTTCATCTCATCTCATCATTTCATCTCATTTCATTCATTACATCTTATTTCACCTCATTTTATGTCATTTCATGTCATCATTTCATCACATCTCGTCTCATCTCATCTTTTCATCTCACCATTTCATCTCATCATTTCAACTCATTGCATCTCATCTCATCATTTCCATTTCATTATTCCATTTCATCATTTCATTTATTTCATTTCATTATGTCATTTCATCTCATCACATTTCATCTCATCTCATCTCATCATTTCATCTCATCATTTCATCTCATTATTTCATCTGATTTCATGTCATCATTTCATCTCATTTCATCACATCTCATCTCATCATTTAATCTCATTTCATCTCATCATTTCATCTCATCTCATCATTTCATCATTTCATCTCATCATTTCTTCTCATCTCATCATTGCCATTTCATTATTTCATCATTACATTTCATAATTTCCTTTCATTATTTGATTTCATCTCATTTCATTATTTCATCTCATTTTTCATCTCATTTCATCATTTCGTCTTATCATCTCATCTTATTTCATTGTTTCATCTTATCGTTCATCTCATTTCATCTCATCATTTTATCTCATATCATCTCATCTCATCTCAATTTCATTATTTCATATCATTTCATTTCATTATTTCATTTCATCTCATCATTTCTTCTCATCATTTCATCTCGTTTCATCTCATCATTTCATCCATCATCTCATTTCATCTCATCTCATCTCCTTTCAATTTCTTTTCAATTTTGTCATTTTATCTCATCATTTCATCTCATCATTTCTACTCACCATTTCATCTCAAAATTTCATCATTTCATCTCATCTCAAGTAATCTTATCATTTCATCTAAGTGAAATGATGTAATGGAATCATGAAATGAAATGGATAGGATGCCCTCAGTGATGTTAAATTTAAAAATTGTTTGTTTTCATGTATTCATTTTTATATTTATATGTATTTATATTTATATTTACTTATATTTCTTTTTACTTATTTTTATTTATATTTTTACTTATTCATTGGTAGACAAGGTCCTGTTCTGTGGCCTAGGCTGGAATGCAGTGGTGCATTCACAGTTCACTGCAGCCTCAAGCAAACCTCCCACCTTAGCCTCGCAGGTAGCTGGGACCCCAGGTGCGCACCACCACACCTGGTTAATATTTTATTATTTGTAGAGATGGAGTCTTGCTATGCTGCCCAGGCTGGTCTCAAACTCCTGGGCTCAAGCAATCCTCCTGCCTTCGCAACCCAAAATGCTGGGATTACAGATATGAGCCACAGTGCCCATCCTATTTATTTACTTATTTATTTATTTAATAAAGAAAAGGTCTCAATATGTTGCCCAGGCTGGTCAACTCCTGGACTCAAATGATTCTCCAAACTTGGCCTCTCAAAATGTTGGGATTACAGGTATGAGCCACCATGCCTGGCCTAAAAATAGTATTATATTTTTGCATTATATAATTTTCAATTAAGTAATATGAATATTCTGTACAGGAAATATGCCCTTAATTACATAGGAATAAACATTTGTTACACTGAGAAAAATCTAATAGAGCTAAAAATAAAAATTAATTTGGAGAGGTCATTAGATACTCATACATTCTTACGTTTATATATTCTTTCATATATTCATATAGTCTTTTAACAGTATCAATGGTTTGGAGTTATGTGTACAAAACCATGACCTACATGTAATACAACTAATAACAAGCACTTACAATTCAAGGCATATTATATACAAAGCTTTAACTTCTCATCTTCAGATTTTGTTTTTTTTCTTTCTGTTTTGGCAGATACTATGAACACAACATTCAACTCACAGACACTATGGAGCCCTTACTAAGCATAAAGTACTGTGAAAGGCCAGGGCTAGGACAGAACTGAGACAGGGCCAGGGATAGGACAGAACCAGGGCAGGGTCATGGCCAGAGAAAAACCAGGGGCAGGGTCACAGCCAGGGACATAAGAGGACCAAGGCCAGGGCCAGAAGTAGGGCAGAACCAGGGCCAGGGCAGGGACATGGCAGGGCCAGGGCCATGGCAGGATCAGGGCCAGCAGAAGGCCAGGGCAGGGCTAGGGTAGCACAGGGCCAAGGCAGGGCAGGGTCAGTGTAGAGCAAGGAACGGGCCAGGGTATGGCAGGGCAGGGACAGGGAGGTCCAGGGCCAGAGTCAGGTCCAGGACATGGACAGGGCAGGGCCAGAAACATGGCAGGACCAGAAAGGGGAAAGGGCAAGGGCAAGGCCAGAGAAGGACCACAGTAAAAACATGGCCAGGGAGGGTCCAGGGCAAGGGCAAGGCCAGGGCAGAACCAGAGCCAGGGCAGGCCAAAGGCAGGGCCAGGTCAGGGCAAGGCCAGGGTAGGGCAGGGCCAGTGTAGGGTGAGGGTAGGGCCAGGGCAAGTTCAGGGCCAGGGCAGGACTAAGATAGCACAGGGCCAAGGCCAAGGCCCTGTACTAAGATAGCACAGGGCCAGGGCAGGGCCAAAGGAGGGGCCAGGGCCAAGCATGGCCAGTGTGGGGCCTGGGGATTGTCAGGGCCAGGGCCAGGGTCAAGGCTGAGCCAGGAACAGGGCCAGAGCAAGGGCAGGGCCAGGGAGAAGGCAGAACCAGAGAGCATCCAGAGAAAGGGCAGGGCCAGGGCAGAACCAGGACCAGGATAAGGCAAAGCCAAGGCCAGGGCAGGGCAAGGCCAGGGCAGGGCAAGACCAGGGAAGGGCAAGGCCAGGGTAGAAATGGCCAGTGTACGGCCAGGCCAGGGTAGGAAAAGGCCACGGTAGGGCCAAGGCCAAGGCGGGGCACGGCTAGGGTAGCACAGGTCATGGCCAAAAACAGGGCAGGGCCATAGCAGTGGCAGGACTAGCAACAGGGCCAGGGTAAGCGCTGGACCAGAGCATGGTGGGGACAATACAGGGCCAGGACAGATGATGGCAAGGCAGGTCCAGGGTCATTTCATGGACTCGGTAGGCCTGGGGTCAGGCCAGGGCAGGGAAAGAGCAAGGCCAGGGAGAAGGCAGAGGCAGGGCCAGGGCCAAGGCACTGCCAGGGCAGGGCAGGACCAGTGCAGGGTGAGGGAAAGGCCAGGGCATGGAAGGGCAGGGCAGGACCAAGGAAGGGCCAGGAGAATGCCACGGCAGGGTCAAGGCCAGAACAAGGGTACGGGTGGGGTCAGAAATATGGTAGGGCAAGGGCTGGGCCCAGGCTGGGACATGCAGGGCAGAGCATGGCCTGTGCAAGGCAGGGCCAGAGCCAGGCCATAGAGATGGGAGGGCAACACCAAGGCAGAGTCAGGGTAGATCCAGGGCTGAGCAGAGTCAGGGCAGGTCCAGAGTCGAGGCAGAGCTAGGGCCCAAGCAGGGCCATGGCAGCACCAGGGCAGAAAAGGGCAGGGCAATGCAGGACTGGGCCATGGCAGTGCCTGGTCAACTCTGGGGCAGGGCCAGAAGCAGGACAGGGCCAGGGCCAATGCTCAGACCAGGGACAGGGCATGACAGGAAGTGCCAGAGCAGGGCTGGGCCAACGTTGGGACAGGGCAAATCAGACCAGGACACCTCCAAGTCCAGCTCTGGCCCTGCCTTGGCCCTGGCCCCTTCCTGACCTGACCTTGTCCCTGGCCCTGCCCTATCCACGCCCGGTGTGTTTGACCAGTGTTTTATAACCAGAATCCTACAAGAAACTTAAATCAGCTCTTTTTGTGCATTTTTAGTAGAGATGGGGTTTCACAATGTTGCCCAGGCTGGTTCCAAACTCCTGAGCTCAAGCCATTTGCCTGCCTTGGCCTCCCAAAGTGCTGGGATTACAGGAGTAATCTGGCCAAGTATTTAACTTCTTTATGCCTGTTTCCTACATTTGGAAAATGGGGATGCTTTAAGTACCTAGCACATAGAATTATTGTGAGAATCAATGCCTCACATATTTACATATTGATAAAATTGTACTCATAGAACACTACTGGAAGCAAAGATAGTATTAGTTAAAATTTAGTGATTATTTACTGCAAATATTATTACTATTACAAACAACATAGTATGGACATTATTACCACTACCATAGTTATCTTAAAAATCTAAAATAAAAATTTTATGTAATAGCCTAATATAATCTCTCCTGCTCTGCTCCGGCTCAGCCCTAGTGCCGGCTCTGCCCCTAGTCCTACCACATCACTGGCCCTGACCCTTCCCTGGTCCTGCCGCTGCCCCAGCCCTTCCCATCTTCAGGCCTTACCATGGCCCTACCCTGGTCCTGACCCTGGCCCTACCCCAGAGAAGGGGTATGGCAGAGCCAGGGAAGGGCCGGGGCAAATAAGGGACAGGACACATCCAAATCCAGGAAAGGGCCGGGGCCATGACAGAGCCAGGGCGAGTCCTTGGCAGGGCCAAGTTCCAGGCCAGGGCCAGGAAAGGGTCATGGCAGGGTCACTGTACGGCCAAGGTCCAGGCCAAAGCCAAGGCAGGGGCACGGTCAGGCCTGCATAAGGGCAGGACCAGAGCCAGTGATACGGCAGGGCCAGGGCTGTGCCAGGACAGAACAAGAGCAGAGCAGGGCAGGACCAGAGCCAGGCCATAGAGAGAGTAGGGCAAATGCCAAGCCAAGGCCAGGGTAGTGCCAGGGCTGAGGCAAGGTCAGGGAAGGTCCAGGGCTGAGTCAAGGCTGGAACCAAGACAGGGGCAAAGGCCGGGGCAGATCTAGGGCACAAGCAGGGCAGGCTAGGGCAGGCCAATGGCAAGACCAGGCCATGGCAGGGCCAGCCCAGGATAGAACAGGGCACAGGCAGGGCGGGGCCGGGGCCACGGCTGGGGCAGGACAAGGACCAGTACCGGGGTCCAGGCCAGGGCAAAGGTATGGCCAGGGCAGAGGTAGGACCAGAACCAGGGTCTGGGTAGGACCAAGGAGGGTCCATTGCAGGGCCAGGGTTCAGACCAGGGCCAGAACAGGGCTGGGACAGGGCCGGGGCCAGGACCAGGAAAGGGCAATGTCAGGATAAGAGCCATGGCAGGACCAGCAATGGGGCTAGGGCCAGGAGAGGGACAGGGACAGGGTCAAGGCTAGGGCCAGAATAGCATGCCAGGGTAGAGCCGGCCAAATTAGGGCCAGGACAGGGTCAGGACCAGGGCTGGGACAGGTTATGGCCTTAAGTAGCAAAGGGCCAGGGCCAGGGTCCATGCCAGTGACAGCGCTGGTCCAGGGCAGAGGCAGGGCCATGGCCAGGTCAAGGACAAGGCTGGGGCAGGGCCAAGGTCTGGGTCAGGGTCAGCACAAGACCAGGACAGAGCCAGGAGAGGGACAGGGCCATGGTAGGGCCAGGTTAAATCAGGGACAAGACACCTGCAAATCCAATTCAGGGCCAGGGTCAGGGCAGGGCCAGTTCAGGGCCAGGGCCAAGACAGGGCCAGGGCCAGGGCTGTCAGGGTCATTGGCAGGGCAAGGGCCATGGCAGGATCAGGGTCAGGAGCAGGGGTCAATGCCAGGCCAATGCCACAGATAGGACCAGGTATGTGCTAGGGCCAAGGTGGGGTCAGGGCAGGGCCAAAGGGAGGGCAGGGCCAGGGCAGGGTGGAGTAGGTCCAGGGTAGCACAGGGTTAAGGTAGGGCACGACCAACCAGGGCAGGTCTATGGCTGGGGCCGGGGCAGGGCCAGGGCCGGGGCAGGGCCAGAGCCAGGGCAGGGCCAAGACAGTGGCAGCTCCAGGGCAGGGCCAGGGTTAGGACCACGGACATGTCCAAGGCCAGTGCCAGGGCAAAGACAAGGGCAGGGGCAGGGCCAGGGTCACCTAAGAACCAGGGACAAAGCCAGGCCCAGAGCAGGGCCAGGACAGGTACCTGGCAGGGCTAGGGTCTGGGGCAGGGCCATGGCAGGGCCAGGGCCACAGCCAGGTCTGTGCTATGGCCAGGTACAACACAGTGCCCAGGTAAGGCTAGGATGAAGGCCAAGGTAGGGCCAGGGCAGGGTCAAAGCCAGGCTAGGGCCAAGGCAGGACCAGGGCCGTCAAGGAAGGGCCAGGAAAGCATAGGGCCAAGGCAGGGCAGGGCCAGGCCAGTGCCAAGACCTGGGCAGGGCCAGGGAACAGCCAGGGGAGGGCCAGGGCCAGGGCCTGGGCAAGACCAGGTTTGGGGCAGGAGCAAAACAAGGGCAAGGACAGTGCAGGATCTTGGCACAGCCAGGGTCCAGGATAGTGTCAGGGCAGGGCCAAGGCAGGGTCTGGGCCATGGTAAGACCAGCAACAGGGATGGGGCTAGGCCAGTGACAGGACCAGAGTCAGGGCAAGGGCCAGAGCAGTGCAAGGCCAGGGTAGGGCCAGGCATTTCAGGGTCAGGGCCAGAGGAGAACCAGGGCAAGGTCTCAAGCAGGGAAAGGCCAGGGCCAGGACAGGTCCAGGGCAGGGCCATGACAGGGCCAGGGGCTGTGTTAGGGCAAGGGCAGGGCCAGAGCAAGGTAAGGGTCAGGGCCAAGGCCAGGGTAGGGACAGGGCAAGAAATATGGCAGGACCAGGGGCAATGCCAAGGCCAAGGCTGGGCCAGGGCTGAGTCAGGGCAGGGCAGGGCAGGGCATGGTATGGCCAGTAGAGGACAGGACAAGAGCCGGTCCACAGAGAGAGCAGGACTGATGCCAAGAGAGAGCCAGGCTAGTGCCAAGGCTGAGGCAGTGTCAGAACATGTCCAGGGCAGGGCCGGGGCCAGGGCCAGAACTGAGCCAGGGCACAGCCAAGGCAGGGTAGGGCAGGGAAATAGCATGGCCGGGTCAGTACTGGGACAGGGCAGAGCAGGGCAAGGCAATGGTAGGGGCAGGGCAGGGACAGGCCAATGCAGAGCCATGTTACGCCGGGGCCAGGACACCTCCAAGTCCACTTCAGGGCCAGGGCTATGGCAGGACAAAGACCAGGGCCAGGGTCAGGGCCAGGTCTGTGCTAGGGCCAGCTCCAGAGCAGGGCCTAGCGAAGACTAGGGTGAGGGCCAAGGTAAGGCCAGGGCAGGGTCAAAGGCAGAGTAGGGCCAGGGCAGGGTGAGGACACATCCAGAGCACAGCAGGGCAGGGTGATGGCCAGAGCAGGGGTAGACCACTGCCAGCTCAGGGCCAGGGAAAGGCCAGTGCAGAGCCAGGAAAGGGTCAGGGCCAGGACAAGGCAGAGCAGGGCCAGGGCCATGACAGAGTCAGGGCAGGTCCTTGACAGGACCAGGTTCCAGGCCAGGGCCAGGGCAGCAGCAGGGGCAGGGCCTGGATAAGGGCAGGGCCAGGGATATGGCAGGACCAGGGCTAGGGCCAGGGCCAGGCCGTAGTGAGGGCAGGGCAAAAGTCAAGGCAGGGTCTGGGCAGGTCCAGGGAGTGGCCAGCACCAAGCGGGGCCGAGGTACAACCAGTGCAGTGTAAAGCAGGGCAATGGCACCACTGGGCCATGACAGGGCAAGGTCAGTGCCAGGAGAGGGCAGAAAAGGCAGGCCCATGGTAGGGCCAGGGCAGGGATGGGCCAAAGCAAGACCAGGACATGTCCAAGGCCAGGTCAGGGCCAGAACAGGAGTAGGACCATGACCACTGGCAGGGCCAGTGCCATGACATGACCAGGGTCAGGACAAGGGGTAGGGCCAGAGCCAGGGCCAGAGCCAAGGTCAGGCCAGTGCAGGTTCAGGGCAGGGCCAGTGCCAGTTCAGGGCAGGGCCAGTGCCAGGGCAAGACCAGGACAGGGACAGAGTAGCACAGGGCCAAGACAGGGTCAGGATGGGACCAGAGCAGGACAGGGCCGAGACAGTCCAGGTAACAGTAGGGCGGGTACAGGGCAATGCAGGGCAAAGCCAGGCCCATTGCCAATGCACCAGCCTTCCCTACAAGGCTCCTACCACCTGGCCACTGCTGCAGCCCGTCCATCGCTGTAAGCCTGACCCCCAACCCTGGCTGCAGCCGCCTGCCCTCCTAGCGCGGCCGCTCTCCTACCGCTCTGGCGCACTGCAGTCTCTGTCGCTGCCACCCACCCGCAGTGAGGCAAGTCGTGGTGTCGCAGGCTCTAGGTGTCTCCTCCTCCTCCTGGCATGGAGCAGCTGGGTGGGCAAAGCCAGAAAAGCCTAGAGGAAGATGTGAGGGGTGGAAGGGTTAGAGCCTCAACTTGTCATGCTGGCCACTGGGTGGCAGGGGCCAGTTTCAGCAAAGGCACTCACACCCACCCTCCAAAGTCCAGCCTCTCCTTTTGGCCCAAGCTGGCCGGGAACTGGGGTCTGGGGTGGGTGCTGGAGACACCACAGCACCCAGCTCCCCACTCCACAGGAACCATTGGGCCCACCGGGGCTGCACTCCTCGGGGAGCAGGAGAAGCAGAAAAATTCAGACCCAGCCAGCCCTCCGCACCCAGGTGCCAATTCCTGTTCCAGACGCCTCCGCACCCAGGGCCCTGTCCCCCGTGGTGTCCCCAGGGGTGCCTGGCAGCCTCTGAGGCACAGACCCAGAGTGCACAGGCCCAGGAACCATGGTGGGTGTGGGGGTTCTGCCGTGCTCAGGATTCCCACGCAAACGCTGCGTGCCTGCCGCATTCCAGTATGACCAAGAGTGGGTCGCCCTCTGGAATGTGGAGTCAGGGAGAGGAGAACCACTCCTTCCTTGGATGCCAACTCTGCTGACCACTGCCAGCAGTGCAGCCCCTGATAGCACCGAACTCGCCCCCGCTCCATGGATAGTCCTGCCCTCAATAGCGCCCCCCACCTCCATCCCCCAATGCCGCCAGTAGCATATACCTGATAGTGCCCTAACCTGTCCTCCTCCATGGGCACTGCAGCCCCAGAAAGTGCCCATAACCCACCCTCCCTGCCACGGGAAGTGCAGCCCTGTACAGTGCTACCAACCAGTGCCCCTAATGCAGGCAATGACACCCTGGATAGCACCCCCAACCCACCCCACACTGTGAAAGGTGCAGCCCTGGATAGCCCCTGTCCTACCACTCTGGTCGTGCTGCAGTCTCTGTCACCGCCACCATCAACCACAGTGAGGCAAGCCAGTGGGCCACAGGCTCTAGCACTCAGCAGACAGACATGGAGCAGCTCTCGCCGATGACCAGCTCCACCACTCTGACCACACTGCTGTCTCCGTGGCCATCTTCTTTGACTACAAAGGAATAAAACTAGATATCAATAAGAAGAGTAATTTTGGAAACAATACAATCACATGGAAGTTAAACACTACCCACCTGAATAAATGACTAGCGGGTCAATGAAGATAATAAGACAGAAATTCAAAAATTTCATGAAACAAAGGGTAACGAAAACACAGTATACCAAAACTTGTTATGCAGAAAGCAGTACAAAGGCAGAGATTTACAGCTATAAGTGCCTACCATCCAAACAAAAGAAAAACTTCAAATAAACAATACATCTTAAATAACTAGTAAAGTAAGAACAAACTAAACCAAAAATAAGAAAAATAAATAAGATCGTAGCAGAAATAAAATTGAAAGAAAAAAACACACAAGATGAAATGAAAAGTTGGTTTTCTGGAAAGCAAAACAAAATTGACAAACTTTTAACCAGGCTAACTAAGAAAAAAGAGACAAGATTCAAATAAATAAAATCAACAGATTAAAAAAGGGAGACATTACAACTAATACTTCAGAAATTCAAAGGATCATAACTGGCTATTATATGCCAATAAATTGGAAAGCCTAGTAGAAATTGGCAAATTCCTAGATGCATACAACCTACTTAGGTTGAACAATGAAAACATCCAAGACCAGAACAGATTGGTAACAAGTAATGAGATTGAAGCCATCAGAAAAAGTCTCCCAGTAAAGAAAAGCCCAGGAACTGATGTCTTCACTGCTGATGGCTTCACACCAAACAATTTAATGACCTAGTACAAATCCTACTCAAACTATTTTGAAAAACAGGAGGGAATACTTCCAAACTTATTCTATGAGACCATTATTACTGTGATACCAAAATCAGACGAAGGCATCAAAGAAGGAAACTACAGGCCAGTATCTCTAATATTGATGCAAAAATCCTCAACGAAATACCAGTGAATCAAATTCAGTAAAACATTAAAAAGATAATTCATCATGATCAAGTGGGATGTATCCCTGGGATGCAAGAGTCACTCAACATACAATGTGATACATCATATCAACCAAATAAACGACAAAAACAGTATGATCATGTCAACTGAAACTGAAAAAGCATTTGATGAAATTCAACATCCCTTCATGCTATCAATCCTCAAATAAACGGGTACAGAAGAAACATACCACAACATAATAAAAACTACAGGAAAGACACCCACAGCTAGAATCATATGGAGAGAGGTCCAGGCTGCAGTGAGCTGTGATCCCACCACTGCACTCCAGCCTGGGCAACAGAGTGAAAGCCTGTCTCAAAAAAAAAATACATAAAAAGAGGTATGAACCTCTTTTATAGGTGCAGTGACTCACATCTGTAATGCTAACACTTTCTGGGAGGCTGAGGTGAGAGGATCTCTTGAGGCCAGGAGTTCAAGATCAGCCTGGGCAAAATAGCGAGACCCTTTATCTACAAAAAATTTTTAAATATTTGCCAGGTGTGGTGGCACGTGCCTGTAGTCTTAAACAATTATCATATGACCCGGATAGTGTATTCCTTAGGGATATACCCAAGGGAAATGAAAATATACATCCACACTAAAATTTGTACACAAATGTTCACAGCAGCATTGTGCATAATAGCCAAAAATTGGAAAAAAAACTCAAGTGCCTATCAACAGAGGAACTGAAAAAATATGGTATATCCATTCAAAAGATTACTCAGCATTAAAAAAGAATGAAGTGTTGATATACGCTACAGCATGGATAAACCTTGAAAACACTGTGTCAAGTGAAATAAGTCAATCACAAAAGACCATATGTAGTAAGATTTCATTCTGTGAAACCTCCAGAACAGCTAAACTCAGAGACAGAAAGTAAGCTAGTTATTGCCAGGGACTAGGGGAAAAGGGAATAAGGATGACTGCTAATGGGTATGGGATTTCTTGTGGACTGATGAAAATGGTCTGAAAGTATCTAGATACCTGTCTTGTTTGTGCGATTCTGTGAACATATTATAAACCACAAAATTCTGCACTCAAGGGGTTGATTTCATGGTAGGTGAATTTATCTCATTTATCTTTATCTCAATAAAGCTTTTTAAAGACACTTTAAAAAGACATATCTGTATAAGCTACAAAAATAACACACTGAGAGACTAAAATGCTTAATTTTTCCATTTTTCTTCTTCAGCGCAATCTCAAGTCCAAAAGTCTTTCCTTCCTATATATGCATATTTTGTCCAGTGAAACAAGAAACTCTATTAACTTTATTAGAAATAAAAAAAAGCCATGTGTGCTGGCTCACAGCTGTGCTTCCAGCTATTCAGAAGGCTGAGGAAGAAGGATCACTTGAGGCCAAGACTGGGAGTTCAAGACCAGCTGAGGCAACATAGCTAGATCCTGCCTTTAAAAATATTTTTTAGGCCAGGCACGGGGGCTCACGCCTGTAATCCCAGCACTTTGGGAGGCCAAGGAGGGCAGATCATTTGAGATCAGGAGTTCAAAACCAGCCTGGACAACATGGTGAAACCCCATCTCTTCTAAAAATATAAAAATTAGCCAGGTGTAGTGGTGGGCACCTGTAATTCCAGCTACTTGGGAGGCTGAGGCAGGAGAATTGCTTGAGCCGGGAGGGTGGAGGCTGCAGTGAGGCCAAGATCATTCCACTACACTCCAGCCTGGGTGACAGAGCAAGACTCCGTCTCAGGAAAAAAAAAAAAAAAAAATATATATATATATATATATATACACACACACACATATACACATATATGCGTATATATATATATATATACGTATATATGTGTATATGTATATATATATTTTTTAGGTTAAAACTCTACTGAAATGAAACTAATAAAATAAAATTCAACTTAATTAAAAAATAGTTCCTGAAATATTAATTTTCAAACAATTCTATTTTAGCTTTGACTCTGAACAAAATATAAACGTCAATTTCAAAATATCACAAAGATTGGCTGGGGGCAGTGGCTCATGCTTGTAATTCCAGCACTTTGGGAGGACGAGGCATGAGCCTCACTAGAGGCCAGGAGTTCCAGAGCAGCCTGGCCAACATAGGGAAACCCAGTCTCTACTAAAAAAATACAACAAAAATTACCCGGGTCTAGTAACCCCAGCTACTCAGGAGGCCGAGGCATTAGAATCACTGGAATCTGGGAGGTGGAGGTTGCAGTGAGTGGAGATCATGCCACAGCACTCCAACCTGGGCGACAGACTGAGAGTCCGTCTCAAAAAAATAAAAATAAGGCCAGGTGCTGTGGCTCACACCTGTAATCCCAGCACTTCGGGAGGCCAAGGTGGGCAGATCACTTGAGGTCAAGGAGTTTGGGACCAGCCTGGGCAACACAGTGAAACCTCCTCTCTACTAAAAATACATAAATTAGCTGGGCATGGTGGCACACACTTGTAATGCCAGCTACACCAGAGGCTGAGGCAGGGGAATCGTATGAATTCGGGAGGTGGAGGTTGTAGTGACCTGAGATTGTGCTACTGCACTCCAGCCTGGACGACAGAGTGAGACTCCATCTCAAAAAAAAAGAAAAAAAAAAGAAAATTTAAATTTAAAATTTAAAAAAGTCACAAAGACTACAAATACTCAGGTTTAAGCAAATTCCCACCTTTCTCGAATTAACAGTAATTCATATTTGCTTTGTCAAAAATGTAGATATTTACCTGCCTCAACGGAATGAAATCCTAAAAGCCTAGTGTTCTCAAATGATGAAGACAAAGAAACATGCATATTTTAATTTAGAATTTTGATTCAGAATTAATTTTAACCTAGCTGGAGTATACATAATCATTTATGTATTTATTTACTTATTTAAGAGACTGGGTTTCGCTGTGTTATCCAGGATGGAATGCAGTGGCACAACCTTGGCTCACTGCAACTTGTGCTTCCTGAGCTCAAGCGATCCTCCCACCTCAGTCTCCAGAGTAGCTGGGACTGCAAGTGCACGTTACCACACCCAGCTAATTTTTGCGGAGACGAGCCTCGCTATGTTTCCCACACTGGTCTCTAAGTCCTTGGCTCACTACAGCCTCAAGCCCCTGGGCTCAAGCAATCTGCCTCCCAAAGTGCTGAGATTACAGGAGTGAGCCACCACAACCGGCCTACTCGATAGTGTATACTAAGCAACATATACCCTGCTTTTGCCTAGAACATACTGAAAACATGGCATTAAAAACAATCACAAAAGTTGGGAGCTGAGAAAAATATACTGTAAAACAAATCTGACAGATATTAATCTCAAGAAGCTCCTGAAAATGTCTCAAGAACTCCTATGCTGCACTCTCCCTAATAATTTAGACTTTCTACAGATATTTTCTGATCATCTACCGTGTGCCAGGCACCATGCCAGGTACCAAGATGCCATGGTGAGGTATACACAAAACCGGCTCCTGCTTGCGGGAAGCCTACTCTCTCAAACAGTGCTTGCCAAGCTCGACTGATCACAACTTGGGAGCTTGTTTAAGTTCCAAATCGGCTTCCCTGCTTAGGTGAGCCACAATCCGTGGCATTTTTATCAGGTGCTCCCAATGATTCCTACGCTCTAACGGGTTTGGGAGGAAAGGGTGGGGGTAAGCTCGAGAGCCCAGACCCATCCCGTCCAGCGGGGGTCCCACCTCTAAAGTCCATGTCGCTCAGCATCCTTCCCCCTGACTAGTGGCCCAAACACAGCAGGAAGCTGAGGTGGGTGGAACGCTTTCCAAAACAGCGCTCTGTGATGAGCCACCGACAGACTTGCTCGCCTCCGGGAACGAAGAGCTCACTCCTCACAAACCCCACCAGGGAAAGGTAGCACCTGAGCCTCCCGGGCTGTGCGGACATCTGTCTCCCCGCGGGTGCCGCCTACTGCTCCGGTGGACTCCAGTCCCCAGGTTCCGCCCCACGGGGACTGGGGGGAGGGGGGAGGCGCCGCGCGCATTAGGCGCTGACAGTATACCGACCCCCCCTCCGGTGTGCGCAGGCCAACACCCATACACACCCTCACACACCCGCACACACTCCCGTGGAAACTGAGGCAGGCAGGCGGCGGACCAGGTCCCGCCGCCTGACGGCTAGCGGCTGGGATGGAACCCGGACTGCCAGACGCCTTCCGCCTCACAGGCACTCCTCAGCCGCTGAGGCCCGGCCAGGCTCCCACCGCCGGAGTTTCACAAAGAAAGTCTCCCGGCCCGAGCCCCTCACGCACTCACCGGCGCCGACGCCCGCGGCGACTGGGGCTCCCACCTCCTTCAGCTCCTTGCGGGGGTCGGCCCTGGGGTCGGCTTGGGCGCCGGCAGCGGCGACTGCTCCACATCCACCGGGTCCGGGCCGCGTCCGCCTCGAGCTAACGGTCCCGCCAGCTAGGCGCGCTCGCCAGTTCCGGGCGCCATGTTCCCGCTGTGCTGCTCGCCGCCGAGGCGACCCTCACTGCCCCCCAGCCACGCGCGCCCCCGCGGGCCCACACACGAACCCCGCACGCGCGCGTTCGCCGCGCCCCCTCCCTCCCCGCGCGCCCCGCCTCGCGCCCTCTGGAGCTGGCCGCTGTTCCCAGTGTCTCGCCCACCCCCGCCGGGCCCGTCCGACTCCGCGGGTGAGCGCGTGGTTCCCGGCTCGGCACCGCCGCCTGCCTCTCTGCAGACCACCCCGGACCCGACCCCTCGGCCACTTCCCCACACTGCCCCTTTCGCTTCCCCCACCACGCGGGGCCTAGGACGAGGGTCTGGGCCAAGAGGAGCTTCCCTGCAAGAAGTGCCCAGCTAAGGACGCTACTAAGGGGGCGGGATCGCCACCGTGGAGGTGTGCAAGCAGGTGCCTGCGTCCCGGAGACAGCCAGACTCAACGGAGAAGCTGAGTTGAAGTCCCACATCTCCACTAACCCTTGCGTGTTAGGGTCAGGGCTTCGGGACTTGTTTCTCCTAAATCTTTTTTTTTTTTTTTTTTTTTTTTTTTGAGACAGTCTCGCTCTGTCACCCAGGCTGGAGTGCTGTGGCGCGATCTCGGCTCACTGCAAGCTCCACCTCCCGGGTTCACGCCATTCTCCTGCCTCAGCCTCCGGAGCAGCTGAGACTACAGGCGCCCGCCACCACCTGCTGATTTTTGTATTTTTAGTAGAGGTGGGGTTTCACCGTGTTAGCCAGGATGGTCTCCATCTCCTGACCTTGTGATCCTCCCGCCTTGGCCTCGCAAAGTGCTGAGATTACAGGCGTGAGCCAGCGCGCTCGGCCTGTTTCTCCGAAATCTGAAGACTCAATATCATAATCAAGAGAACGCCTCAGCACCGCGCCTAGCACTTAGTAGGTAGTGATCAAGAGAGAAGACCTCTTAAGTGGTTTTAATGGTTAAGGACCACAGGTTCTCAAGAAAGGGAAATCTCAATTCAAGTCCCGCCTCCATCTCTTGGAAACTGAGAAACCTTGAACAAGTCACTCAGAGGAGCCAAAGATCCTTGATTTCTACATGTGCAAAAGGGGAGTGTGGCAGTAGCACTGCACAGGGTTGACTGAGCTTTCAGGGAGATGATGACTGTATGATCATGCCTCTCTTAATCACGGGATGGTTCTGAGAAATGCCTCCTTAGGTGATTGCAGCATTGTGCAAACAGCAAAGTGCATTAACACAAACCTTGTATAGCCTTGTATAGCCTACTAAACACCTAGGCTGTATGGCCTATTGCTCCTAGGCTACACACCTGTACAGCCTGATACTTTACTGAATGTACCATAAGCAGTTGTAACGCAATGTAAGTACTTGTGTACCTGAACATAGAGAAGGTACAGTAAGAATAGAGCATAAGAGAATTTAAAATGGTACTCCTGTATAGGGCACTTACCACGAAAGGAGCTTACAGGACTGGAAGATGCTGTGGATGAGTCAATGATTGTGAAGGCATAGGACCTTACTGTACACTACTGTAGACTTCATAAACACCATATGCTTAGGCTACACCAAATTTTTTTAAAGCTTTTCTTCAATAAATTAACCTTAGCTTACTGAAATGTATCTTAAAAATTTTGCCAGTCGTGGTGTCTCACGCCTGTAATCCCAGCACTTTGGGAGGCCGAGGCAGGCAGATCATTTGAGGTCAGGAGTTCAAGACCATCCTGGCCAACGTGGTGAAACCCTCATCTCTACTAAAAATACAAAACTTAGCCAGGCATGTTGGTGTGCACCTGTAATCCCAGCTGCTCAGGAGACTGACGCAGGAGAATCGCTTGAACCTAGGAGGCGGAGGTTGCAGTGAGCCGAGATTGTGCCACTGCACTCCCGCCTGGGCAATTACACGCATGGAGATGTCATCTCCTGTGATAAGAATGCCTTCTTCTTCCAGAATACTTCCTGAAGGACCTACCTGAGGCTGTTTTATAGTTAACTATTTTTTAATGTAAGTAGAAGACATACATTCTAAAATTATGAAAAACACTAAATACACCAGGGCTGGGCACAGTGTCTCATGTGGGTAATCCCAGCACTTCAGGTGGCTGAGGCGGGCAGATCATTTGAGGTCAGGAGTTTGAGACCAGCCTGGGCGGTGTGGTGAAACCCCATCTCTGCTAAAAATACAAAGATTAGCTGGCCGTGGTGGTGGGTGCCTGTATTCCCTGCTACTCAGGAGGCTGAGGCAGAAGAATCGCTTCAACCTGTGAGGCAGAAGTTGCAGTGAGCCAAGATCGCGCCACTGCACTCCAGCCTGTGCGACAGAGCAAGACTCTGTCTCAAAAAAATAAAATAAACCAGTAACATAGTTGTTCATTATCAAGTATTATATATTGTATGTAATTGTACATGCTATGCTTTTATAGAACTGGCAGCACAGATTTGTTTACACCAGCATCACCAGAAACACAGAAATGCATTACCCTAACATTACAATGGCTATGTCACTAAGCAATAGGAATTTTTCAGCTCCATAATCGTCTTATGGTACCAGTGACTTACATGTGGTTTGTCATTGACTAAAATGTCATTATACAACACATGACTGCATATCCCAGGGCCCAATGCCTGGCACACACAAAGCTGAGTTTCACTGGTGTAATTCCCACCCTATCCATCCAAGAATCCTAAAAGTTTAATGAAAGGGGCTCTGCTCCCAAAACCCTGTGGTATAAGTAGCTGGGAGGAGTTCGCCCGACTTGGGGTTTCAAGGACTCTTTCTTCCCACCTGTTTGCTTTCCTTTCTCTCCCCAAAACTTCTCTGAAAACCCTAAAGTTGGCAGAAAAATGGAGAATGTTTTCCCTACTAACAAAAAGAATCTTCAAGAGTCTCTTGGGATTTGTAAATGGTTGCATTTACTAGTCTGGTTTTCTTTTTGTTTTGCTTTTTTGTTTTTGTTTTTGTTTTTTTTTTGAGATGGAGTCTTGCTCTGTCACCTAGGCTGGAGTGCAGTGGCACGATCTCGGCTCACTGCAACCTCCGCCTCCCAGATGCAAGCAATTCTCTTGCCTCAGCCTCCTGAGTAGCTGGGATTAAAGGCACGCACCACCACGCCTGGCTAATTTTTTTGTATTTTTATTAGAGACAGGATTTCACCATGTTGGTCAGGCTGATCTCAAACTCCTGACCTCATGATCCACCTGCCTTGACCTCCCAAAGTACTGGGATTACAGGCATGAGCCACTGCACCCAGCCTTCTAGTTTGGTATTTTTCTTATTCAAGTAACAAGGAAAAAAAAAATAACTCCACCAAGAGTAAAACAGAAAAAAGGAACAAAACTGATAGCATGACTGAAAAGGCCTGGGGTGGTACCTCACTTCAGGCATAGCTGGATACAGGCACTTATACAAGATAAGTCTCTCTAATGTCTCGGTGCTTGCTTCCCTTTGATTACTTCATTCTCATGCAATTCTTTCCACATAGTGGCCTGAGCAGCTCCTAACTCACATCTGCGCAAGAAAGCAGAGGCTGTTCCCCAATAGTTCCAGCCAAAGTCCCAGGACTGACTTTCACTGGACCCGTTTGGGCCACATGCCCCTGCCTGAGCCAACCACCACATCCAGCCTGGCCAGACCTGGCTTTCAGGAAGCCCCTTCAGGAAGCAGTTGGGGTCATCCCCTCCAGAAGGACATGGGGAAAACCAGAAAGTGGGAGGAGGGATGCTTCCTTCTGAAAAATAGGGATGCAATTACCACAGGAGGTGTCAGATACAGGGCTGGCACAAACAAGAGCTATCCATGGCACCATCATGTAGGCATGCAGCAGGTCCACCATGAAGCAACCTGGCTGCTCCGCAAAATGGAATCACAGTTAATTCAGCCAATGAGAAATATCCCTCTATTTGGGTTCCCACCATTCACCCCAGGCCTGGCACGTCCCAAATTTCCTTGGTCAAAGGCAAGCAAATTACCCGCCTTTTATGCTGCACAAAAAGCTGAAAAGATTATCTTACTTCTCTGGCTCAAGAACTTTCTATGACTCCCTCTGGCTACTTATGTGGCTCCCCCACCCTTAATGATAGAAGCCAACATTCATGAATCCCCTACCACATGCCAGGTACCTTATGGACCTGCCTCCTCCAAACAGCATAGAAGAGGTTGGTACTCTTACTGCACCCATTTTATAAATATGGAAACAAAGGCTCAGCAATTTGAGGTAATTTACCCAGAGCCAAAGTTAGGAAGTGCAGAGTTCAGATTAGCACAATATTGTTCCCGCCCTTACCATCCCAGCTCCATTTGTTCATGTTTCAAAGTCCTACACCCACCTCTAGCTAGGGGCCAGTGGGATCCGCTCCATGGCAGAAGAAGCCTCTAGGAACCCCTTCAGCTTCTGCAGTGGTGGGGCTGGGGAGTAGGTGCAAAAGATACTTAGCTTTACCATCCTCTCCCACAAAATTTTTTTTTTTTTGAGATGGAGTCTCACTCTGTCACACAAGCTGGAGTGCAGTGATGCGATCTCAGCTCACTGCAACCTCTGCCTCCTAGGTTCAAGCAATTCTCATGCCACAGCCTCTGGAGTAGCTGGGATTACAGGTGCCTACCACCACACCTGGCTAATTTTCGTATTTTTAGTAAAGATGGGGTTTCACTATGTTGTCCAGGCTAGTCTCAAACTCCAGACCTCAAGTGATCCACCTGCCTCAGCCTCCCAAAGTGCTGGGATTGCTAAGCCACCATGCCTGGCCCCATCTCCCATAACTTAATGGGGTAGGGAAAAGAATTCCTCCAAGATAAAATTAAAGTGACGTTAGGAAAGGAAGTAGATGTTTGGTAACCTTCAATCAGCAGCTGATTTCTCCCATTGGTGAGTCAATTAGTTTTCTATGGCTGCTGTAACAAATTACCATGAACTGATTGGCTTACAACAACACAGACTTAATATCTTATTGTTCTATAGTTCAGAAGCCTCAAATCAGTTTCACTTGGCTAAAGTCAAGTTGTAAAGGACTGATTCCTTCAGGAGGTTCTGAAGGGAAAACCCGTTTTCTTGCCTTTTTCTGCTTTTAGTGGTTACCTATATACCCTGGATTGTGGCCCTTTCTTCCATTTTTAAAGCATATCACTCCAATCTCTGCACAGTGCTATGGTTTGAATGTGTCCCCCAAAGTTCATGTGTTGGAAATTTAATCCCCAATGCAACAGTGTTGAGAGGTGGGACCTTTAAGAGGAGATTAGGTCATGAAAGATCTGCCCTCATTAATAGAGTAATGATGTTATCTCAGCAGAGGGTTAATTATCATGGGGATGGGTTCCTAATAAAAGGATTGAGTTCAGCCCCCTTTCTCTCTTGATGTGATACCTTCCATCATGGGATGACACAGCAAGAAGACCCTCACCAGAAGCAGGCCCCTTGATCTTGACCTTCCCAGCCTCCAGAACTCTAAGAAATAAACCTGTTCTTTATAAATTACCCAGCCTCAGATATTGCATAGCAATACAAAAAAGACTAAGACACTCAGTCATCATCGCATTGCCATCTCCCCTGACTGCTGAGTCCCTCTTAAAAGAACACTGTAGGCTGGATGTGGTGGCTCACGCCTGTAATCCCAGCACTTTGGGAGGCCAAGGTGGGCAGATCACGAGGTCAGGAGTTCGAGACTAGCCTGGCCAACATGGTGAAACCCCATCTCTACCGGAAAAACAAAATTAGCTGGACATGTTGGCGAGCACCTGTAATCCAGCTGCTCGGAAGGCTGAGGCAAGAGAATCACTTGAAGCTTGGGAGATGGAGTTGCAGTGATCCGAGATTGCATCATTGCACTCCAGCCTGGGCACCAAGAGCAAAACTCTGTCTCAAAAAAAAAAAAAAAAAAAAAAAAAAAGCACTGTGATGGGACACTGGGCCCACAGGCAACATAGGATAAGTTCCCATCTCAAGATGCTTAATCACATCTGCAAAGTCCCTTTTGTCATGGAAAGGAACATAGTCACAGATTCCGGGGATTAAGTTGAGGACACTTTGGAGGGGCCATTATTCAGCCTGCCATGGAAAATATCATGAGGGGGAGTTAATACAAAATGATCTGGAAACAGAGAAGGGCGGCCGGGCATGGTAGCTCATGCCTCTAATCCCAGTACTTTGGGAGGGAGGCGGGTGGATTGCCTGAGGTCAGGGGTTCAAGACCAGCCTGACCAACATGGTGAAACCCTATCTCTACTAAAAATACAAAAATTAGCTGGGCATGGTGGCAGGTGGCTGTAATCCCAGCTACTCGGGAGGCTGAGTCAGGAGAATCGCTTGAACCCAGGAGGCGGAGGTTGCAGTGAGCTGAGATTGCACCATTGCAGTCCAGCCTGGGTGACAAGCATGAGACTTCATCTCGATTAAAAAAAAAAAAAGAAAAAAGAAACAGAGAAAAGCTGGCTAACTCTCCACAGTGGGAAAAATGTCCCAGGAAACCACAGCCTCCACATTAAATATTCAAATGAGCTAAAACCTATCTAATTGGAAATCTCAGTCTTATTCCTTTAAACATGCAAACCACCTAAATTCCCAACAAACCCCCTACACCCGGCCAGCCAAGTCTCAGAATGCTTATATACCCTTTAATAGAAATTTTCAACCACCATCCCCATTTCCTAAGGAAATGGCTGTGTGCCCTTGAGCCTGCCTTGACTGAATCACCAGTGGCCTTTGAACCATGGCACTCAATTCATGGCATGGCCAGTGAGCTACAAAGTGTCCTAGCATCGACCAAGCAAAGTTATAAAGGCAGATTCAGTGGACAATAAGGAACATTAGTTTTAGAGTCAAAAAGACCTGGGTTGGGTCCCAGCTCTGCCATTTACCAGCTGCGCGACATCAGAAAAGTTACCTTCATCCTCCAACTTTGGTTTCCTCACCTGTGACATGACAGTGGCTAGAGGACCTCATAGAATCACTGTGAGGACAAGAGCAGCCAAGGGTAAGTCTTTGCACAAGGCCTCCCCGGTCATTATTGGGTCATCAAGACATAACCGTGCCTTATCTCCACTTCCAAAACCCAAACAGCTCTCAAAAATGAGTCATTGTAGCTCATTTGGAAGAAAAGACTGATATGAATCAATATGCAACTACCTACAATCTTTCTCTATCCCTCTTACTGTGAATATTTGCTGTGGAAATATTAACATGTTTGGTCTCCACTGGGGTAGGACTCCACATGTGTAGGACTCCACTGGGGTGCTACACATACACATAGTAGATATGCCTTACCACCTTCCGAAAATTGGGTAATTAAATTTCACAACTTATCTAGCCCAAAGGTTTCAGAGACTGTAGACCTGTATCTTTATGAGGGCAAGGATGAGAGTATAACCTGGCCTGTTATTATGCACCAAGGTACCTGCTGTTCTCATGAAGATGTCAGCAGCCAGCCAGCCAGTCTCTACAAACTCCACCCCCAACCTCGCTATGCTCCTTTCCCTGGAACTTTCCAAGGGGCCCTTAGAATTTGCATTCAGCTCTCACAGGCTGAGACCAGGGTGACATCCTGGGAAACCTGCCTAGTGATAGCCAAGGTGTAGCTCCAGATGAAAGGCACACAACAACTTTAAATATAAAAAAGCCATTCAGGCTAGGCATAGTGGCTCACATGTGTAATCCCAGCACTTTAAGAGACCGAGGCAGGCGGATCACCTGAGGTCAGAAGTTCAAGACCAGGCTGGCCAACATGGCAAAACCCAGTCTCTACAAAAAAATATAAAAATTAGCTTGGCATGGTGGCGCATACCTGTAATCCCAGCTACTCAGGAGGCTGAGGCACGAGAATCGCTTGAACCTGGGAAGCAGAGGTTGCAGTGAGCCAAGCTTGCACCACTACACTTCAGGCTGGGCAACAGAGTGAGACTCCATCTCAAATAAATAAATAATAAAGCCATTCAACTAAAGAACCGATTATCAAGCAGAAGCACAAAGCCCAGGTTCCATCAGGTTTTTAATTGTACATCAGTGACTGTGAAAAAGCAATTATTTCCATAATTAATATACAAACTATAAAAAAACAGACTCAAAGAAAAGAAAGATGACAGAGTGAAAGAAGGTACATTTCTTTCATGTTCAAACCACGGAGTTCACAACACAGCAGCACACACAGCCGGGCGCTTTGTGGTCTCGGCACCCTCGGCTTCCCCTTCACGAGGCCGCTTTCGACTAGTAGAAGGCTGAAAATAAAGGAAAATGGAGAAATGTTCAAAAGAAAATCACTGGCTTCTTTAAGATTATCAAAGTTCCTCAATGTACTTCCAGTAAAGTGGGGGCATTTGATGTGAAATTCTAGTACCAAAAATTACTGGTTTTCATCATTGACAACTGAGTCCTCATCACAGCCCGCAACTCAGACATGCTTATCTAATAGATATTTCTCTCCCTTATGGCTTCTGACCTCTGAATGATGTATACTGAAAGCAAGTAGCATAACCAACTTCCTCTTGATCATCCTCTTCTAAATATCAAGTTTAAAAGGACTACAATACCTCTCAGTTGAAGCCCCAAGTCTTGGTCTTTTGCGGGAAGACAACCTTTGTGCCTTAGTTGTTTTCCCATATGCAAAATTGGGAGGAAGGCTGGGTGTGGTGACTCACACCTGTAATCCAAGCACTTTGGGAAGCCGAGGTGGGTAGGTCATTTCAGGTCAAAAGTTCGAGACAAGCCTGACCAACATGGCAAAACCCCATCTCACCTAAAAATACAAAAATTAACTGGGCACAGTGGCGGACACCTGTAGTCCCAGATACTCAGGAGACTGAGGCAGGAGAACTGCCTGAACTCAGGGGGCAGAGGTTGCAGTGAGCTGAGATTGCACCACTGCACTCTGGCCTGAGTGACAGACTAAGAGTCTGTCTCAAGAAAATAAAAATCGGGGGGGAGAAAACAGTGGGAAAAAGGACAGCTACCATTCAACAACAACAACAACAAAAAAGCAGGACTGGAATTAACTTATACTCACAAAGAACTTTAAAGAATAAAATTGTAATCAAGGAATCAACTACGGACCCAAATTTTAATTTTCCAACAAATTTATATTTGAGCCTCTAATAGAGTCTTTTGAAATTGCCTTGCAGGTGACCTTTTGGATGACAATCCCTAGCTGTGCTTATCTGTCTATTATGTGTTAGATATTAAACATAACCTGCATTTTTAAATCTAAGGGTGCTAGAGTGAATCAAGTTCAAAGAGAGTTTCTACTACATTATAACTGAAACAATGTTAAGCAATTATTACTCAGGAAAATCTTGAATTTCATCTCTTTACTTATCAGCTCCTTAAGCCTAGACTACATTTAGTGATCATCAGGAATACGAATACCTGGGCTAGAACCTGGGATAGACCTGTGGATTCATTTTCCTCAGACAGAAGATCTTGAAACTTTCTCTTCATGTCTTCATCCTGTGAGGGAATTAAAAACATAAGTAGCTGTGTCTGAAGGATAATAAACTCCTAGAATGACAGGGCTAGCATGCCCCTGTGGAAAGAGGGAGGAAAAGATGTCCGTCCAAGAATCATCCCCTTGATGAAGCTCCCACAGCGAAGGCATTATGTGTTGCCCCCCTCTACCTTCCCAGAGGAGTCAAATTAGCAGTCAATGCTCCATCAATCCTGGCTGACTCACATCCACATGCCTAAAAGCTCTCAGTGGGTCAATCACAGCCTCCGGCAGTCAAGAGTTTCTGAATTAGCATCCCAGATCCTGAGAAAGGTGACAATCAGGGGGCCAGGGGCTGGGTCTGACTCCGTGCAGCTCCTCAAATCCTTCCAGGACCACTCTCCACCTGCTGCCCCTGCCATGAATGAGGCCAGTCACCCAGGCTGTCCTAACAACCAGCCCAGCACCCTAGGAAAATTCACCCAGCAGATGCCATACAAATTTTCAGAAGTACTTAAGGCCACAATATCCCAGAGCTCAGGTCTAATGAGAAAGGGAGACAATAAACATAACAAAGCATTACAGCTGTTTCATGCTGCAGGAGCGGGAGATGAGGAGGGCACAGACAGTGGGTATACGAGTAGCTCCCACCTCTCTGGATGCTTACTTCTGCAGGGTTCAAGGATTTGCATTAGGAAACCCTGAGAGGTGGTCTGATGCAGCTCTCCCCAACTTCAGCAAGGTGAAAGGAACATCTATAACTAGGAATGTGGCCTTTGAGTTCTGGCCAGAAGCCCAGCTCAGCCACTCACAGGTGGCATGTGCAGAATACAGACCCAGAGTTATCTGACTCCAATGCCTCATGTACTTTCCCACCCAACTCCAGCCCCTCCTCCCACTGAGCCAAGCATACCACAGTGGGGAAAGAGAGAGGATACAGTAAAGTCCTCCACCATTTGGCAATTTGATGGATATGGAAATTTTACAACACTAGGTTGGGCATGGTGGCTCATGCCTATAATCCCAGCACTTTGGGAGGCCAAGGTGGGAGATTTGCTTGAGGCCAGGCATTTGAGACCAGCCTGGGCAACATACTGGGACTTTGTCACTACAAAAAAATTTAAAAATTAGGCCAGGCACAGAGGCTCACGTCCGTAATCCCAGCACTTTGGGAGGCCAAGGCGGGCGAATCACCTGAGGTCGGAAGTTTGAGATCAGCCTGGCTAACATGGTGAAACCCCGTCTCTACTAAAAATACAAAATTAGCCAGGCGTGGTAGTGCATGCCTGTAATCCCAGCTACTCAGGAGGCTGAGGCAGGAGAATCACTTGAACTCGAGAGGTGGAGGTTGCAGTAAGACAGGATCACACCACTGCACTCCAGCCTGGGCAAAAGACTACGACTCTGTCTCAAAAAAAAAAAAAAAAAAAAAAAAATTTAAATTAGCCAGACACGGTGGCATGCACCTGTAGTCTCAGCTACTTGGGAGGCTGGGGCAGGAGGATCACTTGAGCCTGAAAGTCATGGTGCAGTGATCATGCCACTGCACTCCAGCCTAGGTGAGACAGCAAGACCCTGAGGAAGGAAGAAAGGAAAGAAGCAAGGAAGGAAAAAGGGGGGGGGATGAAAGAGGGGAGGGGAAAGGAATGGAGGAGAGGGGAGGGGGAAGGAAGGAGGAAGAAAGAAAGAAGGAAAGGAGGACCAGGCACAGTGGCTCATGCCTGTAATCCCAGCACTTTGGGAGGCCAAGGCAGGGCAGATCACTTGAGGTCACTCTGTTTTGAGTTTCTCAGTGTAGCTCTCCATTGCCATTTGACAGCAGCAAGCTCATCTGGATTCCTCTCCGCACCCTCTCACAGCCTTACTTAGGATCTCAATTATCTTGCAGTGTCACTCTCAAAAGTCCACCTCTTGGCAGCCCTTCAGTGAAGCCAAACAGAGCGGTCACAAGCCTAATCAGGCTTATATTTAAAACAAGTAATCAGGTCAGGCACAGTGGCTCATGCCTGGAATCCCAGCACTTTGGGAGGCCAAGGTGGGTGGATCACCTGAGGTCAAGAGTTCGAGACTAGTCTGACCAACATGGTGAAACCCCATCTCTACTAAAAATACAAAAATGAGCTGGGCATGTGGCAGGCACCTGTAATCCCAGCCACTTGGGAGTCTGATGCAGGAGAATCACTTGAACTCAGAGGTGGAGGTCACAGTGAGCTGAGATCACACCATTGCACTCCAGCCTGGTAGACAAAAGTGAGACTCCATCTCAAAAAAGGCAATAAATAAATAAACATTGATTTTCTTCATAATGTCTACAATTATTCCAAAATATTAAATTAGCCAGGAACAGTGGCTCGTGCCTATTATCCAAGCACTTCATGAGGCTGAGGTGGGAGGATCCCTTAAGTCCAGGAGGTCGAGGCTGCAGTGAGCTGTAATTGCACCAGTGCACTCCAGTTTAGGCAACAGAAGAAGTCCTTGTCTCCAACAATAAATAAAATAAAAATTAAATTATAATATCCCTTGAAAGCAAACAGAAGAAATCCTCTATTTCAGGCAGTAAATATGAGGCAGACAGTAGATGTAAGGGATGCTCCCAAAACTGGGCACTCTGTTAATGACAAAACAGAGACCAGAATCCACATTCCCAACACTCAGTCCAGCGCCAGAACCACAAAACCATTTGGTTTTTGTGAAAACACTGAATTTTCCCAAAATAAAACCCAAACTATCACTAACAGATGTTTTAGATGGTCAGTCTTCATCTTTGTCTTCATTCAATGCTCATTCCTCCTTTTACTGCAAAAACAAAAGGTGGCTAAAAGAGTATTCCAGGGAGATTCTGCAACGGAGTTGAACTTCACCTTCTCCTTGGTTGTTAATAAGTTTTCTTTGAGACAAAGAAGCACAAGAAAAATAGGCTATGCTTGCTCATAAATTTCAGGCAGATGCAAACCCTGTTCCCAGGCTCAACTGGCCAGCTCTGTTTTTTTGCTAGAGATGAACACAGCTCCTGTACCTCTACATTTAGAACCAAGAGTTTCCCTATTAGGACACATGAAAAGAGCCAAAAGACATGTTTCTCTTTTTCATCAAAATTAAAATCCCCACATGCAAAGGCACCCTTTGTTTCCAAACCCCCTTCCTCTAGGTTCCTGCTGTTTCAAATCTGTGTGGTCTATTAAATGCTAAATCATCTGACAGATTTCTTCTGGGGAGACTATAGTTTCCAGGGCAACATCCAAAACACATATATCTGTCTTTTTTTTTTCTTAAGTTTTTGTTGTTCTCAACCTGAGCTGGCCTGAGCAAAACTGTTAGGTGTAGAGGATTAGAACAGAGAATGGGGACAGTCTTCCCAGAGTCCCAGAAGTACGGGGCTGAGGCTGGATTTCCCAAGGAGTTCCTGGACCAGTAATCCCCAGAGAAACAGCATTTAGCTCAAGTAACAGCCTCTAGCTCAAGCTACCAGTTCTGTCCCCCATCTCCACAGAAAACGGATTGATACAGTTTGGCTTTGTGTCCCTATGCAAATCTCATCTCAAATTGTAATCCCCAGGTGTTGAGAAAGGGACCTGTTGAGAGGTGATTGGCTCATAGGGGCAGTTCCCCCCAGGCTATTCTCATGATAGTGAGTGAGTTCTCACGAGATCTGACAGTTTCATAAGAGGCTCTTCACCCTTCACTTCCTTCACAAGCTCTCTCACCTGCTGCCATTAAGACATGCCTTCTTCCCCTTCCACCATGATTATAAGTTTCCTGAGGCCTCCCCAGCCATGTGGAGCTGTGAGTCAGTTAAAGCTCTTTTCTCTATAAATTACCCAGTCTTGGGCAGTTCTTTATAGCAGTGTGAGAACAGACTAATACACAGACCAAAAGAAAATTAATAGAAAGGGGCATGGCTGTGCTGAATGGAACTGCTCGTTACAGAAGACCAGACATCTATCAGAAAAACCTGCCCAATGCCGTAGCTAATTCCAAAACTAAAGATTAACCCAGCAAAGCCACAATGTACTTCCAACTCTTGGCAGTTCCAAATGAGGTCAGCATTTAATAATGGCAGCCCCTAACCCTAGCAGGAGCACAGCAGTAACACAGATGAAAGGTGCAGGTGACAGCCTTCACTAAGGACACATTTACTCATCTGAATGAACAAGCAGTGGGACCCTTTATACCCAGTCACTTGGGCTTGAGAAATAGCTGGATTCTCCCCAGGGAGGCTGCCCTCCTCCCCCAGTTCCCTGATTTAAGGTTGAAGATGGCTGGAATGCACCCCACCTGTGAAGAACAGTGGACATGGCTTGGGGTAGAGCCAGAACAAGACCTCAAAAGGACACAGGCCAAACTGGAGACTCGGGGCAGCCAGGTGGAACCAGAACAGGACATAAAGTGAGCTTGTACATCCAACAGCCATGAGTAACATCAAAAAGGTTGTAGCCTGGCCAACACGGCAAAACCCCATCTCTACAAAAAATACAAAAAGTAGCTGGGCGTGGTAGCATGCACCTTTAATCCCAGCTACTTGGGAGGCTGAGGCAGGAGGATCACTTGAACCCGGGGGGCAGAGGTTGCAGTGAGCTGAGATTGTGCCACTGCACTCCAGCCAGGGAGACAGAATGAGAACCTGTCTCAAAAAAGGAAAAAAAAAACAGGTTGTAACCCATCTGCCAAGATACTCCCCCAATACATTAAAACAATTAAACAGATTCAACAAAGTAAATATGTTTCTGTCCTCTGTCTCATGTCTCTCATGCAGCAGGGCTTCCCATGTATTTTATGCTAGCAGGCACTGTCCCACACCCACCTGAAACCATGGTGTCTTAAGGCTTCTTCTGTCGTAAAACATGCCTTTGGATCCACTACCAACAACTTCTTGACAAGGTCCAGAGCTAAAGCAACAATTGGGCAAATCACAGTGAAAAGTATAAATATATTATCAGTAACAGTATGCCAGAATTAACAGGTCACCATCCAGAAAGAGCAGAGAGGGTCTGAGATCATCAGGGAGTCAGCAGACAGGGCCCCTTAATCTTCCTCATTCTCTGTATTCAGAGTACTGTGAGAAGACCAGGAATGACAATGACACTCCCTGTCTCCTGCTGCTGGGACATCAGTCACTACCTCTTCGTTGCCTGTTCCCTCTCTTGTTGCTAGACTCGAGGTCAAACTAATTAAAGCTAAACTTCTACCCAATTCTAAGATAACTGGGATGCACAGCAAACTCTCCCTGACATCTACAGATGGATGGGTGACAGTTACTCAGCCAGGGAGAGGCTCCCTGGAACTGCAGACTTGTCAGAAATAAAACTTGACTACTCCAGCAAGCAACAAATGCACGCTGGCCTGTATATTACAACATTATTATTCCTTAAATATTCTGACATTTAACACAATCACCTATGTTATGTTATTTGACATTTAATTTTCTACTTTCTCTTCAGGGAACTAAAGTTGCCAGGATAAATTATAAAATATAAGGTAACTAAAGACATCTAGTTTTTACACGCTTGCTTACTCAAAGGAAACCTTGTAACTAAAAAGTTACAAGTGCATTTATTTTGCTCATTAAAATAGGTACCAGGCACTTGTGTACATTATCCCTAACCCTCAAAAACCTTTTAAGGTAGGGATTATTGAGGGTCCCTTTACACAGAAAGAAATTGGAGACAGAGGTTAAATAACTTGCCTAAGGCCACACAGCTAAGTAGTAGCAGACCCAGGACCTGAGTGCATGCTCTTAATAATTTCCAGTGCCTCTCAAATGGTGTGAAACTAACGATAGAAAATAAGAACAGAATTGACAGGAGAAAACACCATGGAATTTGGAGAGAAACTCCCACCACAGGACACACACATTTTAGAATACCACAAATTCTTAACCCTTTCATATTCATACCTTTCTCTGAGATTTCTGCCCAGACTTTAGGAATGAAGTTGTGTTTTCCACTGGTGATCTGATCCTTCAGTGACACTTGAGTCCTATGCTCAGAGAAAGGTGGATACCCACTAAGGCTTAATAATGGTAGAGAGAGAAAGGAAAAGAAATCAAGTGGCATTCTCAGTGGCATTCAGATATAAAGATTTCTTTTTCAGCATAATGAAAAGTCTGATTTTTCTTTAAATCAATGGTCAAAAAGTGAGCTAGGCTGGGCACAATGGCTCATGCTTGTAATCCCAGTACTTTGGGAGGCCGAGGGAAGAGGATCACTTGAGCCCAGGAGTTCAAGACCAGCCTGGGCAACATGGCAAAACCCCATCACTACAAAAAATAGAAAAATTAGCTGGGCATGGTGGTGTGCGCATGTAGTCCCAGCTACTCGGGAGGCTGAGGTGGGAGGATCACTTGACCCAGGAGGCAGAGGCTACAGTTAGCCAAGATCAAGCCACTGCATGCCAGCCTGGACAACAGAGCAAGACACATTTGTGACTTCATCTAATCACCTCCTACCAGTCTGTGAAGCAATGAAAATATTTCTTACCAGATAAAAAGAATAACTCCTAAAACCCAGCAGTCCAACACAAACAAGAACTTCAGGAGCCAAGCAGGTGGGGGTTCCACATAAGGTTCTCACGAGAGAGGTCTCTCCCAAAATCTTGGAGTGCCCAAAATCAGTAATCTAAAATTCAGTACAAAAGGGAATAATGTTGAACTTGTCATAAAATAAAAAGATTAACATAGTCTGCCAGTCCAAGAAGGCACGTAGGCTAGATCAGTTTCTATTGTACAATTCACACCTGCCATTAATCTGGAATCTACAGATTCATGTCTTTGCAAGTTAAGACATTTAACTTTGCTTAAATTAAAATTCCTGAGCCTAGGAATCTCAACACTCAGGCTTTCCAACTTAACCTATGTCCTCTGTAATCTTACAAAAAGCTTATTACCTTTATCACAGACACTTCAGGATTCTAATTAGTTCTACATGTTTCTTAGACCCCACTGTCTCAAACATGGCTGCGCTATGGAATACCTGTGGAGCTTGGAAAAACATGCTTATACCTGAGTGCCACTCTCAGCTTCTGAGGTAAAGCCTGGGTATCATAAATCCTAACAAGAGATTCTAAAGTGATGCCAGGCTTGATAAACAGGGAAAGGCAGGGCATGTGATTACACTCATTCATTCATTCACCTATTCTGCTCAAAGGGAGACAGTGTCCCCAAGGTCTGTGCTGAGGAGAAAGCTGCTCTGCCTTCGAGGTGTACCCCGGGTCTGTGCTGAGCAGAACGCAGCTCCGCCCTCGCGGTGCCCCCGGCCCGCCCGCCCGGGTCTGTGCTGAGGAAAACACTGCTCCGCCTTCGCTGTATCTCCGAAGTCTGTGCAGAGGAGAACTCAGCTCGCCCTCACGATGCAATCTGGGTCTGTGCTGAGGAGAGCGCAGCTCCGCCCTCGCAAAGGCGCACAGCGCGGGCGCAGGCGCAGAGAGGCGCACATTTTATGAATAGCAAATCAATTTCTCCCTGTTCCTCTTACATCGAGGCTGGACACACGTTTACAGGGGATCAGTGTGAAGGGAAGCTGGTGAGGCTGCCTGAGAAGCCCCCTGCCTGCGTCTCCCAGTGGACTCCTTGGGAGCGCCCCCTCCCCTGCTCTGCCCAACAGCGCCTGAACTGTGGCCACTTGCACTCCTGTTGCCTACCCAGTGGCTTGAACTCCAGAACTTGCCACCCTTCAGTGGAATTCCTGGAGGAGTGAGGAGCTCTGTGCTATGCTTGGCCACCGAACATGGGCCATCTCTCCTATTATGGTTTGAAATGTACCGTAGTGTCTTGTTTGGTAATTGTATAATAATATGGGGAGACTGTGCGGGTGTCTGCTAGCTTGTCTGCTGGTTCTTACTCATGGTGCCTTCTTCCCTTTCAGACTTGGATATCTTTGTGTGCTTCTTGGGGCCCTTGGAAGGGTGTCTGTGGGGTTTCCGTGAGGCCAAAGACAGAGGTTCCTTCTCACGAGGATGGTGTTTGCTTTCACATGGACAGCCCAGACCACCTGGAACCAAGTGCACAGAAGCCCCACCATCCCCGGGCCTCCCAGTTGTGATGGGTGAGCGGTCCAAGTCCGCAGGAGGCCAGAGGCTCTTTGTGGTTGAATCTGTGAGTTTCCTTTCCTTTTTCCCTCCCACTCCTTTTAATGCTAATGAATTC